>NC_000017.11:4733535-4885050 GCF_000001405.40 Homo sapiens
GGAGAGACAAAACAAGAACTAGAGTTTTAATGATAATAAAAGCAATAATAATAAAAGCAATAACAATAAAAACAAGATCAGACTCTCACTGGGGTAGGCAAGGGACTGAGGAGGTGAAACCAACCCGTATGGTGTCCCAGCACGGCACCTGCTAAGGAGGGAGGGTGGGAAAGCCCAGGCCTTCGCTGCGGGTACAGGAGGATGCAGGAGAGGGCTGAGGTGGGGGAGGAACAACTGGTGTACTGGGAGAGAGATTTGGGACGAGGGGGAACCATCAGCAAAAAATGAAGCCAGGAATCACAGTAAGGGCGCAAGGGCTGAGGCCAGTTGTTTCCATAAAGAAGACTCAATCATTACAAAAATAATTTTTAGTAGTTAAAAAACACACATAGGGCCAGGCATGGTGGCTCACACCTTTAATCCCAGCACTTTGGGAGGCCTGGGTGGGCAGATCACCAGGTCAGGAGTTCGAGACCAGCCTGGTCAACATGGTGAAACCCCGTCTCTACTAAAAATACAAAAAATTAGCCGGGTGTGGTGGTGAGCACCTGTAGTCCCAGCTACTCAGGA
Organism: Homo sapiens; assembly: GCF_000001405.40. Classification (NCBI taxonomy): domain Eukaryota; kingdom Metazoa; phylum Chordata; class Mammalia; order Primates; family Hominidae; genus Homo; species Homo sapiens. The sequence continues at coordinate 4,734,106 of NC_000017.11, forward strand.
GGAGGCAGGAGAATCGCTTGAACCTGGGAGATGGGGGTTGCAGTGAGCCGAGATCATGCCACTGCACTCCAGCCTGGATGACAGAGCGAGACTCCGTCTCAAAACAAAGCAAAGCAAAACAAAACAAAATACACATAGAATTTGTCCAAGTTATTATCACCCAGTGTGAAAAGCAGATTTTATAGTATAACCGTTTTTAAATGAGGGGCCTAAGAGAGGGCAGTGGCTGGTTAGTCCTATGTTAGATATTAACAAATACGTGTAGGCTGGATGTGGTAGGTGACGCCTATAATCCTCGCACCTTCAGAGGCCAAGGTGGGAGGATCACTTGACTCAGGAGTTCCATAACAGCCTGGGCAACATAGAGTCCGTCTCTAAAAAACAAAAAACAAAAACAAGTATGTATACAGTGCCTACCATGTTGTCAGGGGTCAGTCTCCTTTATTACACTTTTTGTAAGAATAAGCCACAGTTTACCCTCACAAGCTTCCATTCTTGGCTCAGGTATTAGAGTCAGGTGCCACAGGTATATAATGAACCGGCAGATCTGGAAAGGATAAAGAAATTGAGAGATGAGCTCTGAGATCAAGGACAGTGTTTGGGGGATGATAGCTTGAACTAGGGAATCAGATGAAGACATCAACACTATGACCTGGCCCACAGTAGGTGCTCAGTGAAAATTTGTGAATTGAATGACTGGCCCTCACCTCCCTCCACAGCTTCATCTCCCACTAGCTTGCTCTAGCCATCTTCTCCATGATGTTGCTCCAAGCACTAGTCCTTGTGCCTGTGGTGGCTTCCTTCCCTCTCCACTGTCTACAGTCCCCGACTGACTGTCCTCAGAGGGCCCAGAGTCAACCTTGTGCAGACAACCTTGATACTTGTGTGCCAAGGCCAGGTTTCCAGCCACCTGAGAGCCACTGGGTCAGGATGCCTGTCAGGAAGGCTCTGGGTCCCTGGGGGGAGGGTTCAAAGGTCCAGTTTACCTGGAGAGGACTGCGGTGACTGCCCCCTCCTCCTCTTGCACAGCACATAGGAAAGGGCTGCGGTGAGGATGAAGATGATGGCCAGGAGGCACAGGACTGGCACTGTGGCTGATGTCCTGGCTGTGGGACCAGCATTTTTTTCCGGCTGCTTCTGGTTCTCCCCAGCCTCAGGCCCAGCTGCCAGACTGTGGCCCGCAGTGTGAATGGTGGTTTCATTGGGACGAGTGAGCTCTTTGTCCGAGGACAGTGATCCTACTGGGAGGGTGGGGCGCTGAGTGGACTGCAAGGTGGACAGGAGCATCTGGGCAGGGGTGTGGATATCTGAAGATGCCCCCTCTGAGGCCTGAGAAATTGGGGGGCTGGTAGGAAGTAAATGCTTCTGGTGGGCCACAATCCCCGAGTAAGCATGTCCACATTCTGGAAAGGAAAGAAATGAGGAATCAGGACTATCAGGAGACAAGGTGAAAAAGCAGATAGAGGTGTAGGGGAGAAAAAGTAATATCTTTTCCTCACCCATCGCAAGGGTCAAGGCTGATACCCCTATAAATAAAAAACATTAACAAGAGAAAAGCCTAACATTTATTTAATCACAGTTTTACATGACATAGGAACCTTCAGAAACAAAGACCCGAGAAAAGTGCATTTTTATGCTTAGGCTTGCTGTGAAGAATGGACAGCTGTATAGACGTATGATTGGATTGGCCGGGCGCGGTGGTTCACGCCTGTAATCCCAGCACTTTGGGAGGCTGAGGTGGGTGGATCACCTGAGGTCGGGAGTTCGAGACCAGTCTGACCAACATGGAGAAACCCAGTCTCTACTAAAAATACAAAATTAGCCAGGCATGGTGTCATGTGCCTGTAATCCCAGCTACATGGGAGGCTGAGGCAGAATCGCCTGAACCCAGGAGGTGGAGGTTGCAGTGAGCCAAGATTGCACAACTGCATTCCAGCCTGGGCAACAAGAGCGAAACTCCATCTCAAAAAAAAAAAAGAAGTATGATTGGACAAAAAGGGTATGATCTAATGGCAATAAATGGGGGGTGGGGGACCAGCAAGGCCTGTCCAGATTCTTCTTGGCCTCCAAGTATAGGGCAGGACCCATCTGAAATGAGAGCCTATGACCTACTTCCACGTGAAGTTAGAGAATTCCTTTATGGCCAGCTCTCACAGAAAAACAGAGCAGAGTGAGCTACTTACTTCTGCTGTTTTCGTAATTACCAAGGTGCCATGTTTTGGAGTGTCATGTTCTGAGCTCCAACAGAGGGAAGAGTGAGTCAGGGAGGTTATCACGCTGAAGGCCAGAAGAGGAAGGCAGATGACAGACGGAAAAGGTAGGGGACAAGGAAGTGAGCGAACCACGAGACAAGTGGGTGTCATGAACTGGGAAATCAGAAGACCAGGGTTGGATTCCAAGCTCTGCTGTAAAGTAGCTGTGTAACCTCAAGTAGCTGTGTAACCTCACCCCTTGTCCCTAACCTCTCCGGAAGTGATATCTTCCAGCTGTAAAATGAGGATAATTGTAGTACCAAGGGCCAGGGTTCCTGGGAGGATGAAAGGAAATCATAGAGGTCTAGGCAGACTTAAAGGCAGTATGGATGACACAGATCCTACAAAACTTTAGCTAGGACATGGAAGAACCTTTTGTATTTTAATGGTTGTATATTTATTTTAAGAGAAAAATATAACCAATGCATCAAACTTGTGACTTCACAGATATTATTGCTTAGGATAATTTACTATTTAAGTTTTCTTTCTTTTTTTTTGTTGCCCAGGCTGGAGTGCAATGGCCTGATCTCGGCTCACTGCAACCTCCGCCTCCAGGTTCAAGTGATTCTCCTGCCTCAACCTCCTGAGTAGCTGGAATTACAGGCACATGCCACCATGCCTGGCTAATTTTGTATTTTTAGTAGAGATGGGGTTTTACCATGTTGGTCAGGCTGGTCTCAAACTCCTGACCTCAGGTGATCCACCGGCCTCAACCTCCCAAAGAGCTAGGATTACAGGAGTGAGCCACCGTCCTGGCCTCTACTTAAGTTTTCAAAACTAGTTTGTGCACACTTAAAAGTAATTCATTTCATTGTATGTAAATTTGAACTCAAAAGAAAAAAAAGCATTAAAATATTGAACTCTACTTAATATACATGCTGAAATGTCTTGGGATGAAGTGCAATGATGTCCACAATCTGCCTTGAAATGCATCAAGAGGCCGGGCACTGCGGTTCACACCTGTAATCCCAGCACTTTGGGAGGCTGAGGCAGGTGGATCACCTGAGGTCAGGAGTTTGAGACCAGCCTGACCAACACGGTGAAACCCCATCTCTACTAAAAAAATACAAAAATTAGCTGGGCATGGTGGCGGGCACCTGCAATCCCAGCTACTCGGAAGGCTGTGGCAGGAGAATTGCTTGAACCTGGGAGGCGGAGGCTGCAGTGAGCTGAGGGCACCATTGCACTCCAGCCTGGGCGACAGAGCAAGACTCCATTAAAAAAAAAAAAAAAAAAAAAAAAGAAATGCATCAAGAAATAAGGTGATGGATGATGGATAGAAGAATGAATAGATGGATACTTAATAAAGCAAATATCGTGTAATTGCTGTAAAATTGATAGTGTAAAATATATGTTTATGTAAATATGTAAAATATACATATATAAATAAAATTGTAGAATCTAGGTGGAGGCACTGGATATTCAGTGTGCCATTCTTTCAACTTTTGTATATGTGTAAATTTTCATAATAAAATATTGGAAAAGAAAAATAGGCCAGGTGTGGTGGCTCACGCCTGTAATCCTAGCACTTTTGGAGGCCGAGGCGGGTGGATCACAAGGCCAGGAGTTCGAGACCAGCCTGGCCAACATGGTGAAACCCTGTCTCTACTAAAAATACAAAAATTAGCCAGGCTTGGTGGTGCGCGCCTGTAATCCCAGCTACTCAGGAGGCTGAGGCAGGAGAATCTCTTGAACCTGGGAGGCAGAGGTTGCAGTGAGCCAAGATCGTGCCACTGCACTCCAGCCTGGGTGACAGAGTGAGACTCCATCTCAAAAAAATAAAATAAAATAGTACTTTGATTTCAAGAAAAATATTAATAAGTAGACAATAGCACACGTGGTAGAATGAATTGGCAAAACTCATGAAGGTGATGGTGAATGATCACCCCGTTTGGCAAACAGGGACTCGAGTCTAAGTACTTTGGACAGGATCAGAAGAAGGTTCTAGGAATGTGCGGCCCCAGGGGAAAAGGCTCAGGTAAAGAAAACTGTCAGGTGGAAGCTGCTAAGCCCTGGAGGCAGAGCCTGAAGAGCAGTGGAAAAGTCTCACCTTTGAGATCAAGACAGCTCATCAATTCCTGAACCCATGGGTCCTTGTTGCCCCCACACACGCTCCAGGAAAGGAGCTGGAACCTGCGGAGGAGAGACCTGGGCTTAGCTGCGGCGCCTTCTTTCCTTCCCCGGCTCCTTCCTCATTCCAGAGGCGTGAAGTTGCCACCAAGAAAGAGCCCTTTCTCCTGGGACTGGGAAACTCCCCAGTAGGTGAGACGGAGTCATGAAGTTTCGGGGAATGAGAGCAAACGGAACCCGGAGATGGGGCTCGGTGAGCCGGGAAGGAGTTCAGGCTGGACCAGAGAGGGTCCTGGAGGCACCTGCAAGGAGGGGCCGCCCAGGCGCTGCCCTCGCAGAGGCAGGTAAAATTACCTCGTGTAGTATAGACACCGATGGTAAGCTCTCAGGTGTTTCCGGAGACGATTCATGAACTGAACCGATGGCGGGGAGTCGGAAGAAATTCTTTTACCACAATAACAACTTCCAGTGACGCTGCCCTCGTTGCCATTGCCTGCGCGGGACGGAGGTGGTCGGCACCCATTCCCAGGCCCAGGGTCCCCACTCCGCTGTTCCCTGGCATCCAATCCACAGCCCCATGACAGCCTCTCGGTGGACCCAGGGTCAGAGCGCCAGGCTCAACCCACACATCATCACGCCCCCGACAACATCCATAATCCCGCCCGGAGCCAGGCGTCCCCGGGCCTCTGTCCCCAACCCCAGGCGGCTGGCTGGCTTTCCTCTTGTCCCCGCTGCCTTCATCCACTCAACTCCGTGGGCCTCGTGTCCCCTCCCCAACTCACCCCCTTCCCGTGACAGGGGAATCTGGGTCCCCTGCCCCGCCCCCGGCTAACCTGGCTGAGTCAGGTACACCAGCAGGAGCAGAAGCAGGAGCAGGAGCACGCGGGACCCGGGCCGCAAGTCCCGTCCCATCTCGGGGCTCCGCGGACTCTGCGGGGATGGAGCCACCTCGCTCTGACTCCCAGACATGCTCCGGCGCGTGACGTCCAGCTGGTGTCTCAATGGCTTTCGCCGGGGACCGGAGGAGACGGCGGCCGGAGAGGAGGCGCGAGCCAGCTGCACCCCCCGGCCCTGCTGTGCCCCGACCGTGCGCTCAGTACTCGGCCCGCGCCATGCCAGCCTCTGGACGCAGGGAAAGCCGAGGAGGTGGAGCTCCCGCGCCCTGCGCCCCCGCACTGGGCCCGGCTCCGTCGAGGGAAGGCCAGGAATCTTGGAAGAAACCGAAAGAAAACTCCGGCGGCGGGCGAGGAGGGGCGGGAGGACGACGGCCCGAGGAGCCGATTCGGTTCGGTTCAGGAGGCCGCCCGCCTGGCCCGTCCGCCGACCTGTGAGGCGGCTGCACTGCCGGACCGGCCCTCCTCCTCCGAGGCACTTTCACTTCCCCGATCCGGGCGCCGCGGGACCCAGCCGCGCTGCATGAGCCTCCCGGGCGGCCCGGTGGAGAGAGTCGCCGCCAGCCCCGGCCGCGCGCACCTGCGGGGCAGCCACCCGCGGACGCACCGAGCCCGGGGGGCGTGGCCGCCCGCTGAGCCGGCGAGGGCTCGGGCAGCCCTGACGTCACAACCGCACCCGCGCACCCTCCACCGCGAGGTATTTACCTTCGAAAAGTGGTGGCGGCTGCAGGTACCGGAGGAGTGGGGCGGCCGGGAGGGGCTAGGTCTACCGGGGCTGCCCGCCACGCAGATCCGAGCCCAGGGAACCCCCTCGCTCCCACTCCCATACCCCACAGACGCATCCAAAATGCTTCCCTCCCCACCAAACCGTTCCCGATAGGATTAGCCCTCTCTCCTCTCTAGCCTTAATTTAAACTCTGCTTTTGAGGGTGTGAACTCTCCAATTTTAAGCCCCAAATACCATCTCATCCCTGAGTAGTCTTCTCCAACCCTGGTCACCCACTTTCAAGTCCAGCCCCCATTTTCCTCCCTAAACTCCCATCCTCAGCCCTGAAAAATCCTCTTCTCCGCTCCTAGCATATCCACGGATCCAACCCTAAGTGACTCTCAAACCTACCCTCTCCCTCAATTTGTGACCCAGCCCCAAACTCCATCATTGCTCTCCTGTCCCTCACCATATATCCCTTCTTTTGCTCAGTCTGGGCCGGGGCCCTGTGCCGCTGAAGACATGGAGTTTGTGTCTGGATACCGGGATGAGTTCCTTGATTTCACTGCCCTTCTCTTCGGCTGGTTCCGAAAGTTTGTGGCAGAGCGTGGAGCTGTAGGGACTAGCCTTGAGGGCCGCTGCCGGCAGCTGGAGGCCCAGATCAGAAGGCTACCCCAGGACCCTGCCCTTTGGGTGCTCCATGTCCTGCCCAACCATAGTGTGGGCATCAGCCTGGGGCAAGGGGCAGAACCAGGTCCTGGACCAGGCCTGGGGACTGCCTGGCTCCTGGGAGACAACCCTCCACTCCACCTGCGAGACCTGAGCCCCTACATCAGCTTTGTCAGCCTAGAGGATGGGGAGGAAGGGGAGGAGGAAGAGGAGGAAGATGAAGAAGAAGAGAAGAGAGAGGACGGGGGTGCAGGCAGCACAGAGAAGGTGGAACCAGAGGAGGACCGGGAGCTAGCCCCTACCAGCAGGGAGTCCCCCCAGGAAACAAACCCTCCAGGAGAGTCAGAGGAGGCTGCCCGGGAGGCAGGAGGTGGCAAGGATGGCTGCCGAGAGGACAGGGTGGAGAACGAAACAAGACCCCAGAAGAGGAAGGGACAGAGGAGTGGTAAGAACCCAGGGCTGGCCCTGCCCTACCCCTTGCCCAGCCATCCTCCCTTCGGAAGCCCTCCCCTGCCACTAGTTCTGAGTGCTGGCCTTCAGGCCAATCTGGCCTGAAAAGGTGTTTTTATTGACCCACAGTGGGGTTTTTTTTTTTAATTTAATGTTTAAACATTGCAAGAAAAAAAGTATCCAGAAGTCTGGATTTACACATTCCCAAGAAAAATCTCAAGCTCTGACAGTGGGCCTACATTTCTGCATGGCAGCGCATTCTGGTCCTCTGTAGCAGCTGTCCCCTTTAGAAGGAGCGTGCCCTCTCTACCCAGAGCCCTTTACTCAGTGAGGTTACTTGCCTAGCCCCGTAGGTATTTGAGTTTGGTACTCCTGACCCTGACCACATTTGTCTCTCGCTGCCCCCTACCACCTCAACTTTTCCCTCTTTCCCCAGAGGCTGCCCCCCTGCACGTTTCCTGTCTCTTACTTGTGACGGATGAGCATGGCACCATCTTGGGCATTGATCTGCTAGTGGATGGAGCCCAGGGAACCGCAAGCTGGGGCTCAGGGACCAAGGACCTGGCTCCTTGGGCCTATGCTCTCCTCTGTCACAGCATGGCCTGTCCCATGGGCTCTGGGGATCCCCGAAAGCCCCGACAGCTTACTGTGGGAGATGCCCGGCTGCATCGGTATAGAAATCTGGTATCTGAGGCTGGGGAGGACTCGGGCCCTGGATTCCCAAGCACCTCCTCCAGCCTGATGCCATCTCCCCCCCAACTGCATTTAGAGAGCTGGAGAGCTTGGTCCCAAGGCTAGGTGTGAAGTTAGCCAAAACCCCAATGCGGACATGGGGTCCCCGGCCAGGCTTCACCTTTGCTTCCCTTCGTGCTCGAACCTGCCATGTGTGTCACAGGCACAGCTTTGAAGCGAAGCTGACACCTTGGTGAGCAGCCCCAAAGCTGGGGGAGAGGAAGACCCCAATAGGCAAATAGAAGGAAGGCAGGGTGGTGGGGGGCGCCTAGCAGACAGAAGGAGAGGCAGGGACATGAGAAGATGCAGAGGAAACAATACAGACTGTTACAGGCGGTTAGAGGGTGTAAGACAAACAGACCGAGTGACATATGGGCAGCTGCTGGGCAGTTGAACAGCAGACAGGACCTACAGAGGTTAACACTAGGTGCCCACCACCCGCTGTGTCCCCAGCCCCCAGTGTAGTGCTGTCTTGTATTGTGGAGAGGCTTGTCTCCGGGCTGACTGGCAGCGGTGCCCAGATGATGTGAGTCACCGATTTTGGTGCCCAAGGCTTGCAGCCTTCATGGAGCGGGCAGGAGAACTGGCAACCCTGCCTTTTACCTACACCGCAGGTACCATAAGGAGGTCAGAATGGTTGGGGGAAACTGGGACCAGGTCTTTGAGACTGGGAATTAGATGTCTGGGAACAGGGTCCTGCAGTTGAAGGCTGAGTGTCTGGGGCTAGAGCCTAGATCCCTGGAACAAGGGCAGGGGCTGGGTGTTTGGGGCTGGAGACAGGGTCTCTGAAGCCGAGGCCTGAGTGTCTGGGTCCCTGAGAGCGTGCAGGGATTGGGGGACAGGGATTCAAACACTTACTTGCTTCCCAGCTCCACCACTAACTGCAGTGTGACCTTAAACAAACCACTTTACTTCTTGAAGCTTCCGTGTCCTCATGAGGGATACGGAGAAGGCCCATGGAATTGTTACAAGGATTATCTTGGCTTGGTGCCTGGTACGCTGGAGGCACTCAGAAATGGTAGTTCCCGGCCTGACTGGAACCAGACTTAGAACCAGGGTCCTCGCGGGAGGCTAGGGAGAGTTCAAGGCTGGGGTTCTAGGCCGGGCAATGGTTCACACCCGTAATCCCAGCACTTTGGGAGGCCAACTTGAGCCCAGGAATTTGAGATCAGCCTGGGCAACATAGACTCTGTCTCTACAAAAAATAGAAAAAATTAGTCAGGCATGGTGCACTCGCTTGTGGTCACAATTCTCGGGAGACTGAGGTGGGAGAATCGTTTGAGTCCAAGAGGTCGAGGCTGTAGTGTCCCGTGATCACGCCACTGCACTCTAGCTTGGGTGATAGAGCAAGACTCTGTCTCAAAAAAAAAAAAATGTCTGGGGTTCTAGCCCAGCACCTCAACTCCTCCCCTTCTCCTTCTCCAGAGGTGACCAGTGAAACCTTCAACAAAGAGGCCTTCCTGGCCTCTCGGGGCCTCACTCGTGGCTATTGGACCCAGCTCAGCATGCTGATTCCAGGCCCGGGCTTCTCCAGACACCCCCGAGGCAACACGCCATCCCTCAGCCTTCTTCGCGGTGGTGCGTGGGGTCTCTCCAGGCATGGGCCCCTTGGCCTAGAGGGAAGGACTGGGAAGAAGTTGTCTGGGTCCCAGATGATCCCTCCACATACACACTGACCCCTACCAACAGCACCAGGGCCATTTCAGGCCTTTCCCAGCCCTCAATGGAATCACCCCTACCAACTCCACCCAGAAACCCCATCCCTATGCAAACCCCCATTCCTCTTACTGCGGCTGTCTCAGGGAATACAGCCCCTTTGGAAGGAAGAAAGAGATGGGTCAGGTGGGGGTCTCCCTGACCCCAGGCCCCTCCTTCTTTCATCCTCTCAGGAGACCCCTACCAGCTTCTCCAGGGAGACGGGACTGCCCTGATGCCTCCTGTGCCCCCACATCCACCCCGGGGTGTTTTTGGTGAGCTGGAGGGGCCCTGTGGAAGCTAGGGGTAGGGCCAGGGACTGGAGAACCAGAGCCTGGGTGGCTGTGAAGAAGAGGTTTGTTAGACTAGAGGGGGTGGGGGTCCAGGGCCAGGTCCTCTAGCAACCCTCTCCTGCCAGGCTCATGGCAGGATTACTACACATGGCGGGGCCTCAGCTTGGACTCCCCCATAGCCGTGCTTCTCACCTACCCGCTGACCGTGTACTACGTCATCACCCACCTGGTGCCCCAGTCCTGTAAGGAGAGCGGAGTGGGGGGTGGAGCAGGATGGGGGAGTGAGAGTGGACCACATCCTTAAAGCGCTGGTTTTTCACCCAGTCCCTGAGCTCAACATCCAAAACAAACAGTCACTGAAGATCCACGTGGTGGAGGCCGGGAAGGAGTTTGACCTTGTCATGGTGTTTTGGGTAAGTCACCCCAGGCCTGAAGGTTGGGCATTTTGGTATGGGGGTGGGCACAGGGTAGACCCCAGATCTTTCTTTCTTTCTGTCCTTCAGGAGCTTTTGGTCCTGCTCCCCCATGTGGCCCTGGAGCTGCAGTTTGTAGGTGATGGCCTGCCCCCCGAAAGCGACGAGCAGCATTTTACCCTGCAGAGGGTGAGGGCTGAGGGGGCCCTGCTTTTCAGCCCTGACCCCTCCAGTGACCTCCTGGTTGGGTCCTGCCCTTCTGCCCCCCACTCCCCATCTTGCCTGGTGCATCCTCCAGTTCCCTGACTTCCAGTGGCTTTTCCACCCCACTCCTGGGGCCCCTCAGGACAGCCTGGAGGTGTCTGTCCGGCCTGGTTCCGGCATATCAGCACGGCCCAGCTCTGGCACTAAGGAGAAAGGGGGCCGCAGGGACCTGCAGATCAAGGTGTCAGCAAGGCCCTACCACCTGTTCCAGGGGCCCAAGCCTGACCTGGTTATTGGTAAAAGCCTGGGTCTCAGGGTTAGGCATGTGGGGAAGGTGGGAGAGAAGCCCACCGTGGGAGCCAGCTTCTCCCTCCTCTCTGTCTGCAGGATTTAACTCCGGGTTTGCTCTCAAGGATACGTGGCTGAGGTCTCTGCCCCGGTTACAGGTGGGCAATGGGGGCAAAAGGGAACTTCTCTCCCCTCCTGCCTGGCCCCTCCCCATCTCCTTTTCTGAAAGTCTCTGGGCTCTCCTCCTCTTCACCATCACCTGCTCCACAAACCTGGGGAGTGCCCACGGGTCCCCCTGCCTCTCTCTGTGTCTGTCTCCGTCCTCCCCCTGCTCCCCTCCGCCCGGTCTGTCCGGGGACCTCGGCTTTCAGCCCGGTCTGTCATTCTGGCTGCTGGGATGGATTTGGGGAGGGGCCTCTCAGAGCGACTCTCGCTCCACCCCAGTCCCTCCGAGTGCCAGCCTTCTTCACCGAGAGCAGCGAGTACAGCTGTGTGATGGACGGCCAGACCATGGCGGTGGCCACTGGAGGGGGCACCAGCCCTCCCCAGCCCAACCCCTTCCGCTCCCCCTTTCGCCTCAGAGCGGCCGACAACTGCATGTCCTGGTAAGGGTCTGCGACCCTATTTCCTTCCTGACCCTTAACTTCTCTTACTCTCTGGCTCCACATCCTCGAAGGCCCACCTCTACCCTAGTCCCTGCTGTCCTGGGGCCCTCCTGCCCCCAGCCCAGCAACCTGCCTTCTCTGTCCCCACTACTCGTCGCCCCCATGGGAGGTCTCGACATCCCCCAGCACACCCCTCTTTAGATCTAGCTCACGGAATCTCCCCAACCCACAAAAGACCCCGCGACCCTCCAACAGACCCAACCCTGAGTCTAGCCCCACGCCCTGGAACTCAGAGGGGCAAGCCCCGCCCCCTGGTCCCTGACCGCCCGGTGGAGCCCCGCCCCCTGGTCCCTGACCGCGCCCCTGGGAGCCCCGACCCCTGGGAGCGCCGACCCCTGGGAGTCCCGCCCCGTGGTCCCTGACTGCGCCCCGCGCCCCCGCAGGTACTGCAATGCCTTCATCTTCCACCTGGTTTACAAGCCTGCTCAAGGGAGCGGGGCCCGCCCGGCGCCCGGGCCCCCACCCCCATCCCCAACTCCCTCTGCTCCTCCTGCCCCCACCCGAAGGCGCCGAGGAGAAAAGAAACCTGGGCGGGGGGCCCGCCGGCGGAAATGAATGCTGATACCCTAGTAGTCCCCAGCTCCCAAACACTGAAAGGAAAACGTGAAAACACTCAAGGCCTAGGGGGAGGACAGGTTGGTAAAACATGAAAAGGTAAATAAAATTACTTGTTTGAAACCACTGAGTCATGGATCTTTTGATTACACGCTCATAATTGGGCCATTAAACTGGGAACGAAGAGAAAGATTTTTTTGTTTGTTTGTTTTTTGAGACGGAGTTTCCCTCTTGTCACCGAGGCTGGAGTGCAGGGGACACGATCTCGGCTCACTGCAACCTCTGCCTCCCGGGTTAAAGCGATTCTCCTGCCTCACCCTCCGGAGCTGGGATTACATGCATGCGCCACCACACCCGGCTAATTTTTGTATTTTTAGTAGAGACAGGGTTTCGCCATATTGGCCAGGCTGGTCTCGAACTCCTGACCTCAGGTGATCCGCCCGCATCGGAAAAGGAGTTAGGGATGACTTACTTTCCCCCAGACCCTTTTAGTCCCCTCAACGGCTGTCATTTCTTTAACTCACAGTCAGGGATTGTGACCCTCCTTGGTAATCCCATGGTTCTCCTAATTATGTGTTGGCTAGTCACTTTCCAGCCCCGGTAACCCTCAGGGACCGGCCCCAAGGCAAGGAAAGTGGCTTCTTCCTGGGGGCGGGAGAAGCAATCAACCTCCTGGGACCACACAGATCCTTGGTTTGGATTCAGTGAAAGGCCCCAGCCACCCAACTCCACCTTTTCTCACCACCTCGTATTCAATAATCAACTCCTGCTGAGCTCTTCTGAAATCACTCAAGTCCATCAAGGTATGTCCATTCCTGCTGCAAACTCCACCGTATCTCATCGCCACATTGCAGCCCAGAGTATTCCTCCTCAAAAAAAGACATCTGAGGGCCGGGCACGGTGGCTCACGCCTATAATCCCAGCACTTTGGGAGGCCGAGGCAGGTGGATCACCTGAAGTCAGGAGTTCGAGACCAGCCTGGCCAACATGGAGAAAACCCCGTCTCTACTAAAAATACAAAATTAGCCGGGCATGGTGGCACATGCCTGTAATCCCAGCTACTTGGGAGGCTGAGGCAGGAGAATCGTTTGAACCTGGGAGGCGGAGGTTGCAGTGAGCCGAGATCGCGTCATTGCACTCCAGCCTGGGGGACAAGAGTGAAACTCCATCTCAAAAAAAAAAAAAAAAGAAAAGAAAAGAAATTAACCGGGTGTGGTGGCATGGGCCTGTAATCCCAGCTACTCAGGTGGTTGAGGCAGGAGAATCATTTGAACCTGAGAGGTGGAGGTGGCAGCCAAGATCGCGCCACTGCACTCCAGCCTGGGTGACAGAGTGAGACTCTGTCTCAAAAAAAAAAAAAAAAGACATCTGACCTCATTTCTCCCTCGCTTCAGTCCCTTCAGTGACTTCCCTTAGCTCTTAACAGTGTGGGCTGCCCTTAATGACTTCAGTCACTGAGTATAGATAGGGAAAAACAGAGGAGAAACCTGGCAGATACCACCTTAACCAAGGGATTAAGGTGAACAATTAAGTCCTGTTGATGTTACTCTTTTTTTTTTTTGAGAAGGAGTCTTGCTCAGTCGCCCAGGCTGGAGTGCAGTGGTGCAATCTCGGCTCACTGCAACCTCCGCCTCCTGGGTTCACGCAATTCTCCTGCCTCAGCCTCCCAAGTAGCTGAGACTACAGGCGCACGCCACCACGCCCAGCTAATTTTTGTATTTTTAGTAGAGACAGGGTTTCACCATGTCGGCCAGGATGGTCTCAATCTCTTGACCTCGTGATCCGCCTGCCTCGGCCTCCCAAAGTGCTGGGATTATAGGCGTGAGCCACCGCACCCAGCCCTGTTGATGTTACTCTTAAGTCTCTTTCATTTTGTAACATACCTCCTTGGCTTTTATTTTTTATTTCATGACACTGATTTGACAAGACACAGAATCATTTGTCCCGTAAAATGTTCCTCACTCAGGAGCTGGCTGATTACTTCCTCAGGGTGTTTTTTCATGTGTTCATTTATCTTCTTCAGTTCCTGTCAACCAGTAGTTAGATCGAGATGACAAGGTTCTGCTGATGTGGTCCCTGCCAACCTCTGCAGGCTGATCTCATGCCATTTCCTTCCCCTGTCAACTCTGCAGCCAGATGCTTCTAAATAAAGACGCGCTCTCTCACTGTGGAACTTCCCATGTGTTTTTTGTTTTGTTTTGTTTTTGAGATGGAGTTTCGCTCTTATTGCCCAGGATGGAGTACAGTGGTACAATCTTGGCTCACTGCAACCTCCGCCTCCCGGGTTCAAGTGGTTCTCCTGCCTCAGCCTCCCAAGTAGCTAGGACTACAAGCGCCTGCCACCACGTGCAGCTAATTTTTGTATTTTTGGTAGAGACGGGGTTTCACCATGTTGGCCGGGCTGGTCTCCAACTCTTGACCTCAGGTGATCCACCCACCTCGGCCTCCCAAACTGCTGGGATTACAGGTGTGAGCCACTGCACCTGGCCAGAACTTCCCATGTTCTTGCTCAACTAATTCTTAGCCTAGGTGGCAGCCTAAATGTCACTTCCTTAGGAAAGGAAGCATTTCCTGACCCCCAGATGAGGTTAGACACCCCTCTCCCTATTAAGCCCTCATAGCACCTTGCATATGCCCTTTGATGACCTTTATCACACAATTTCTTGTCTACCCTTTCAACGGTCAACCCAGAAGGGGTGGGTGCTACCTCTATCCCCCAGGGTCTAGCCTGGCCGGGCATATGGCAGCATACAGTAGGAGCTCGTTAACTGCTTATCAGATTGCTTTCCCCCCATACTTTCAACCCTCCCTCCTCATCTTTTCTCTCAGCTTCACCTCCTACAGCCAGAAAGGGGAAGCCTGGGTCTCTCGTGGACTGAGGAGAAATAGACCTTTTCACCACTCCGTTGGCCAAAAAATAAGCTTTTCCTAACTCCTGACATCTATTACATAACAATAGGAAAGGATGTGGTTATCTCCCAGTGGTGGGGTTACTAAGGATTTGTTTATTCATTTTATTTAGCTGGACTGCTCATTTTTCTTCCATGAACACAAGTGCTTTTGTAATAAAAATGCTTAATATACAAATTGCTCTTTAATAATTCACTTACCAACTATTGATTGAATACACAAGGCTTTGTGCCGAACCTTAGCGACGCAATGGGGAAAAAAGACACATAATGGTCTCTGCCTCCATAAAGCTTACAGTTTAGGGCAGGGATCAGTAAACTACGGCTTCCAGCCAAATGTAGCCCACCTTTTGTTTTTGCATGGCTCGTAATCTAATAATCAGATTTCACAGCCGGGCTCATGCCTGTAATCCCATCACGCCTGTAATCCCAGCACTTTGGGCGCCCGAGGCAGGCGGATCACGAGTTCAGGAGATCGAGACCATCCTGGCTAACACGGTGAAACCCCGTCTCTACTAAAAATACAAAAACAAAAAATTAGCCGGGCTTGGTGGCGGGTACCTGTAGTCCCAGCTACTTGGGAGGCTGAGGCGAGAGAATGGCGTGAACCCAGGAGGCAGAGCTTGCGGTGAGCCGAGATTGCGCCACTGCACTCCAGCCTGGGTGACAGAGCGAGACTCCGTCTCAAAAAAAAAAAAAAAGAAGATTTCACGAGAAAATTATTCGAAATTCAAATTACAGGGTCTATAAATTTATATTGAAGCAGAGCCACAACCATTTCTTTCTGTATTGTCCGTGGTTACTTTCTGGATGCAAACGGCAGGGTTTGAGTGCCGCAATTGCAGCAGAATCCCTATATGACCTACAACGTCTGAAATATTTATGAACAGATCCTTTGCAGAAAGTCTGCCAGCCCCTAGTCCAGGACAAGATTTCCAAAATGCAGGTTTATACAATTTTGTGTGGATCATGAAGTCAATTTAGTGAGCCTCAAGCAGCATCTTTTTTTAATGAAATAGAATAGATAAAAATATGTATCACATGTATAATTAATAACTATTTTGTGAAACATTTGTTATACATACGATATATGCTTATATGTGTATGTGCTGCATCCTGATGTAAAATGTATTTCTTACTGTGGACCATGTTCAAAGCATCTGAAAGGCTGGGTGCAGTGGCCTGTAAACCCAGCACTTTGGGAGGCTGACGTTGTAGGATCACTTGAGGTCAGGAGTTCAAGACCAGCCTGGGCAACATATTGAGACTTCATCTCTACTTTTTAAAAAAAAAAATCTGAAGGTGTCTGGCTTAGAGGGAAGCCTGGAATAAACAGAGAAGTAAGCAGAAAATAACAGTACAGTGTAATTGGTGCAATGATGAGTTACAGACCCTTAGGGTATATCAGAGGCACTTAAGACAGCCTCAGGGCTGTCAGTGAAGGCTACCAGGAGGAAATGACACCCAAACAGTGACCTGAAGGACACGTAAGAGTTAGACAGGTAAAGAAGAGAAGAGCCGCCGGGTGCAGTGGCTCACGCCTGTAATCCCAGCACTTTGGGAGGCTGAAGTGGGTGGATCTCAAGGTCAGGAGTTCAAGATCAGCTTGGCCAAGATGGTGAAACCCTGTCTCTACTAAAAATACAAAAATTAGCCAGGCGTGGTAGCAGGTGCCTGTAATCCCAGCTACTTGGGAGGCTGAGGCAGAGAATTGCTTGAACCCAGGAGGCAGAGGTTGCAGTGAGCTGAGATCACACCACTGCACTCCAGCCTGGGCAATAGAGCAAGACTCCATCTCAAGAAAAAAAAAAAAAAAAAGAAGTGTGGTGGGATGGGAAGGGCAGCATGGATCTGTTTGGGATGCTAGTCTCAACCCAGCCTCATGGACTGACGTCTGAGCCCTGCAAGAGGAACCACAGGCAGAGGCTGAAGGAAGAGTCACTGTATAGAGCCTCTGGAAGGTCAGCAGGGCACAAACACCACAGCACAGCACCTAAATCCCCGGAATCAGTGTCACACGGGGGGCAGGGATCCCCCCATTTCTCAGGGGACACAGTGTGGTTTTGAGAGGCATTGAGAATCCCAAGGAACCCAAAAATGTGGCTCTGTATGACTTCAATCGTTTTTCTTTTTTCTTTTATTTTTTTGAGACAGAGTTTCGCTCTTGTCGCCCAGGCTGGAGTGCAATGGTGCAATCTCGTCTCACTGCAACCTCCGCCTCCCGGGTTCAAGCGATTCTTCTGCCTCAGCCTACCTAGTAGCTGAGATTACAGGCATGCATCACCACGCCTGGCTAATTTTGTGTTTTTGTGGGTTTTTTTGTTTTGTTTTTGCTTTCTTGGGTTTTGTTTTGTTTTGTTTTGTTTTGTTTTTGTTTTTGTTTTTGTTTTGAGACTACAAGCGCCCGCCACCGCACCTGGCTAATTTTTTTCTTTTCGTGCTTTTAGTAGAGATGGGGTTTCACCGTGTTAGCCAGGATGGCCTCGATCTCCTGACCTCGTGATCTGCCCGCCTCGGCCTCCCAAAGTGCTGGGATTACAGGCTTGAGCCACCGTGCCCGGTCTAATTTTGTATTTTTAGCACAGATAGGGTTTCACCATGTTGCCCAGGCTAGTCTCGAACTCCCGTCCTCAGGGGATCCACCCTCCGTGGCCTCCCAAAGTGCTTAGATTACAGGCGTGAGCCACAGCGCCTGGCCAATTTCAATTTTTTAAAATGTATTGGGGTTGGTTTGATGGCCCGGGATATATGCACTATATTGGTATCTGTTGCATGAGTACTTGAATACGTATTCTCCTGTCATTGGGTGGAATGATCTATAAGTATTCACTACATCCTGTTTGTTTATGACATTGTTGAGTTCTTCTATCTCCTTACTGGTTTTTGTCTAGTTGTTCAATCAATTGCTGACAGGTGAACCATGAACTATGAATTTAAACAAACCTGGTTTGAAACTGGACTCATCTGGTTACTAGCTGGGTGGTCACGAGCAGATTTAGAATTAGACTCTGGAGAAACTCTTCTGAGATCCAAACTTTACTGGTCTGACATGGAAATTACAAGTAGCAAACGTTCATATAGCGCTTACTCTGTGCCAGACTGTGTTCTAATCACTTGGCATTTATCAGTCTATTCCTCACACAACAAACTTAAGTCAGGTGTTTATTACCCCCCATTTTACAGATGAGAAAACTGAGGCACAGGGAGGTGAAGATAAAGTAACCAAGTAGGCTGTGAACAAACACAGGCAATCTGTCTCCAGAATATGCACTTTTAACCCCTTCGCCATTCCGCTTCTGGGAAAATGAGGCAATTTCCTGGGATAGTTAAGAAATGTTTGCTATGGAAGCCCTTCCTTCCTAGAAGCCTGTCTCTGTCTCGCTCTTTTTTTTTTCTTTTTTTTTTTTTCTTTTTTGAGACATACTCTTGCTCTGTCACACAGGCTGGAATGCAGTGGTGGGATCTCAGCTCATTGCCACATCCACCTCCCGGGTTCAAGAGATTCTCGTGCCTCAGCCTCCCAAGTAACTGGGGCTACAGGCACACACCACCACACCAGGCTAATTTTTGTATTTTTAGTAGAGATGGGGTTTCACCATGTTGTCCAGGCTGGTCTCGAACTCCTGACCTCAGGTGATCTGCCTGCTTCAGCCTCCCAAAGTGGAAGGATTACGGGCGTGAGCCACTGCGACCGGCCTCTCTCTGTCTCTTTGAAACAGGGTCTCACTCTGTTGCCCAGGCTGCAGTGCAGTGATGCAGTCTTGGCTCACTGCCACCCCAACCTCCCGGACTCAGGTAATTCTCCTCCTTAGCCTCCCAAGTAACTGGGACTACAGGTGCGCACCACCACACCCAGCTAATTTTTTGTATTTTTAGTAGAGACAGGGTTTTGCTATGTTGCTCAGGCTGGTCTCAAACTCCTGGCCTCAAGCAATCCTCCTGCCTCAGCCTCCCAATGTGCTGGGATTATAGGCACCAGCTGCCTCGCCCAGCTGGAGCCAGTCTCTCTTATACCAGGCATTGATGATTGGCCATGCAAAGAATCAGAAACACTCTGTCAAGTTTTCTTTGAAATACATGAAGGAACTTAAGGGAGACCCACAGGGCTCCAAGAGCTTCAGGTAAGATCACTACTGCCCACTTCACCACTATAATGGGAGATGGAATAGAACATGATAAAGTTTGCCGGGCACAGTGGCTTACGCCTGTAATCCCAGCACTTTGGGAGGCCAAGGTGGGTGGATTGCCTGAGGTCAGGAGTTCGAGACCAGCGTGACCAATATGGTGAAACCCTGTCTCTACTAAAAATACAAAAATTAGCTGGACATGGTGGTGCATGCCTGTAATCCCAGCTACTCAGGAGGCTGATGAGGCAGGAGAATCACTTGAACCTGGGAGGCGGAGGTTTCAGTGAGCCGAGATTGTGCCACTGCACTCCAGCCTGGGAGACAGAGTGAGACTCCGTCTCAAAAAAAAAAAAAGATAAAGTTTGAGGCTTAGGGGTCCACATCACCTGAGTTTAAATCAAGGCTCCCAAGTTAACTTCACACACTGGATAAGTGACTCAAGCTCTCCGTGTCTGTCTCCTCACCTGTAAAATGGGGTATTAACTGTACTTATTCCACAGAACTTGTGAGACCAAAGGCAATTAATAAATTAATAAATGCAAATAAATAATTTGCATTTAAATTATGCAAATAAATAATTAATAATTAATAAATGCAAATTCTTAGAAGAGTTCTCAGCATGATAAGTATTTAATAAATGGTATAAGTTGTTGTGTTATTACTATTGCAAAATAAGAGGTCAACCCTAAGCCATGGACTGCAACTACAACTACTTCCCACCTTCTGCAAAAAGAACATCATGCTTTACCTCCCTGTTAGTTGTGGGCACCCCAGAAGTCCACAGTGGCCAGGGCAGGCATCTTCACCCAGACTTACCCCAAAGGACTCCGTTCATCTCCATTTGGGTTCACTCTCCTTTCTCCTCTCCACCCTGCCCCAAATCCTTTCATTGCACCCTTGGAAACCTAAAGTATGTTCGCAAAACAAAATCCCCAAATCATCAAGCTCTTCTCTCAGTTTTGTTTGCCTTCTTGCTCTCATAGGAACCTGGCTCTTCCCGCAAAGACATTGCTCCCTTGCAACGCTCCAAGGAGGCAGCTATTTCCTTTTTCTCCCACCCTCCACATACCTGCAGTGAGGCAGCTGTCCCTTCCAAAACATTTCTCCTCTCTCCAAAACAAAACAAAGGCATCTGTTGTTTTAAATTTTTTTATTTTTAATTTTTCTGGGTTCATAGTAGGTATATATATTTATGGGGTACAAGAGATGTTTTGGTACAAGAATGTAATGTGTAATAATCACATCATAAAAGCATTTATCCCCCTTAAGCATTTATCCTTTGTGTTACAAACAATCCAATTATACTTTTAGTTATTTTTAAATATACAATTAAATTATTATTGACTGTAGTCACTCTGTTGTGCTATCAAATACTAGACATTATTCAAACTATTTTTTGTACCCATTAACCATCCCTACCGCCCCCACAACCCCCCTCTCCTCCCTGCCCCTACCCCACACACACACTACCCTTCCCAGCCTCTGGTAACCACCCTTCTACTCCCTATCTCCGTGGGTTCAATTGTTTTGATTTTTAGACCCCACAAATAAGTGAGAACATGTGATGTTTGTCTTTCTTTTTTTCTTTTTAATTTTAATTTTTTTTTAGAGGGAGTCTCACTCTGTTGCCCAGGCCGGAGTGCAGTGGCGTGATTTCGGCTCACTGCAACCTCCCCCTCCTGGGTTCAAGCAATTCTCCTTCCTCAGCCTCTTGAGTAGCTGAGATTACAGGTGCCTGCCACCACACCCAGCTAATTTTTGTATTTTAGTAGAGACGGGTTTTCACCATGCTGGTCAGGCTGGTCTCAAACTCCTGACCTCAAATGATCCAACTGCCTCAACCTGCCAAAGTGCTGGGATTACAGGCGTGAGCAACCACACCAGTGTGATATTTGTCTTCCTGTGCCAAAGCGTCTTTAAAGCACATGCCAACACACTGTAGCATCCGTTACCCCTCCTTGTTGCAATCATCTTCCAACATCTACCAGCTTCATCAAAGGCTTAAGCATTTGCCTTAAATTTACGTCTCCACCATTAATCACGTCTCCATTTGTGTGGACTCAGACATCCACCTAGGCAATCCAACCATCCCCGCCACCCCGCTTCAGTTCCTTGTCCTCTGCACTTCGGTACAATTTTTTCCTCCACCCCACCTCAGCCACGCACTCCCACAGCAAACCGTAGACTCTGTGATGATCAGTAACTGCCCCATTTCAACCTCCTGAGGACAGGCATCCCGCCACTATCCACCTTTTCATCCCCTTCTCTGGTACCCTCACACCAACAATCCTTCACCCCTCAGGCTCTGTAGTCCATGTACCATTCCACATTTCCACTGTCTGTCACCTTCCTCCTGTCGTCACATCTCCCCTTACTCAGTTTTTTTGTTTGTTTTGTTTCTTTGAGACAAGGTCGAGCAGCTGAGACTATAGGCACACGCCACTGCGCCTGGCTAATTTTTGTATTTTTAGTAGAGACGAGGTTTCACCATGTTGTCCAGGCTGGTCTTAAACTCCTGAGCTAAGGTGATCCACCCGCCTTGGCCTCCCAAAGTGCTGGGATTCCAGGCGTGAGCCACCACGCCTGGCTGGTTTACTTGTCTATTGCCTACCTCTCCCACCTGAATCCCCAGTATGTGGAACAATGCCCGGTATCAAGTGAGTACTCCATATACATCTTTCTGGTGTGAAAGAAAGAAAAGGAGAGAGGGAAGAGAGAAAGAAGTAACAAACAAGTAAGCAAAAAGCCTCAGAAAAATGGTTTTGATGGCCGGATGAGGTGGCTCACACCTGTAATCCTAGCACTTTGGGAGGCAGAGGCAGGCGGATCCCCTGAGGTCAGGAGTTCGAGACCAGCCTGACCAACATGGAGAAACCCTGTCTCCACTAAAAATATAAAATTAGGTAGGCATGGTGGTGCATGCCTGTAATCCCAGCTACTCAGGAGACTGAGGCAGGAGAATCGCTTGAATCCCTGAGGCAGAGGCTGCAGTGAGCCGAGATCGCACCATTGCACTCTAGCTTGGGCAACAAGAGAGAAACTCCGTCTCAAAAAAAAAAAAAAAAAAAGGTTTTGGTTAAAGCCATCTTAAATCATTAGCTCTTCCTGTCTGCATGTTTCAACAACCACGTTGATCGAGTAGCATCGCAGTTACAAGCACAGAACTAAGCAGAGGCCTCCTAAGTGTAAGCCCCAGCTTGACTAACTTCTGCTGTGTAGTCTTAGGCAAGTCACTTTATTTAAAAAAAAAAAAAAAAAAAGGTCGGGTGTGGTGGCCTTTTTTTGTCTCTTAAAAAAAAAAAAATACAGAGGTCTCCCTATGTTGCCCAGGCTGGTCTTGAACTCCTTAGCTCAAGGGATCCTCCCCGTCTGTGCTTCCCAAAGTGCTGGGATTACAGGTGCGAGCCACCACACCTGGCCAGGCAACTTACTTTCACTCGGAGCTACATCCACTCATTCAGCAAATACTTACTGAGTGCCTACTCAGCTGCAGGGTGCTACCCTAGGTTAGTTGTGAGGATTATATACAACAAAGTATGAGAAGCCCCTAACACCAAGCTTAGTTCATTATCAAATAATAACATGGCTGGGCGCAGTGGCTCATGCCTGTAAACCCAGCATGTTGGGAGGCTGTGGCAGGAGGATTGCTTGAGGCCAGGAGTTCAAGACCAGTCTGGGCAACATAGCGAGATGCTGTCTCTTAAAAAACAACAACAGCAACACACTCCTAAAAATCTGTTATTATTTGTGCCCCATAGTGTGACCTTGGCTCACTGCAGCCTCAACCTCCTAGGCTCAAGCAATACTCCTGCCTCAGCCTTCCGAGTAGCTGGGACTACAGGTGTGTGTCACCATGCCAGGCTAATTTAAGTAAAAATTTTTTGGAGAGACAGGGATCTCACTGCGTTGCCCAAGCTGGTCTTGAACTCCTGGCCTCAAGCAACCCTTCTGCCTTGGCCTCCCAAAATTCTGGGATTACAGGCATCAGCTACCAAGCCTCATCTCATTGTCTGTTTATAATCATCTGTACTTGCAATTTGAATATTCTCACTGATTAGAACTATTTTGGGATTTTTTAAGAGGTCGCTGTTACTTAAACATTTAGAAATTTCTGGTTTATTGCATTATGGTCTGGGTATCAGTCCAGTACAATTTCAAGTTTGGGGAATTTCATATCTCCTTCACGGCCTAATATTTGACCAAGATTTGTAAATGTTTTATTGGCATTGAAAAAGGTAGGTTCTCCATTTATGAGATACAAAGTCAAGTAAATAGCACTTGAATACATGCTCCAGGAGGATGGAGGCTCAGGATGTTCACCGATGATGTATTTATGGCTGATATCTTCCTGGTATCCAGCAAAGGGCCTGGCACATATCATTTAGTAAATATTTGTTGAATGAGAGGCTAACTAATCAATCAACTTTATCATTGAGATTCTCTGTTTCTTTATACGTTTGTATATTTTTCTTACTTTGTCGAAGAGAATTATATTACAGTTTCCCACTACTATTATATTTCTGACAGTCTCCCTCGGCATTTCTAACTATTTGGGGTTTTTTTTCTTTTCTTTTTTTTTTTTTTTTTTTTTGAGACTGAGTGCCCTTTCTCATAAAACACCAACCACTTCCTCTATGGAAATAAATTTATTCCCAGTACCTTCTTGGGTCTTGCAAATATTACAGCCAAATGCATTTTTTTTTTTCTGGCATGTCAGTGTCTGCTCACTGTAGAGGAGGGTGAACAAGTTCTGGTCTCCTGATCTCCAGGAGTCTGAGCTAGGAGAAGGAAGAAGAGAGAAATGTCAAAGGGCTATATTTGCAGGGTTTCTATGGAAAAATCTGATTTCAAACAATCTTCATCATCTGAGATGGTTTCCCTTCTAATGACTCCATCTGGTCCTCACGTCGATCTTAGTTCTCAGGAGCTGATAACTCTGGCCTTGCCTTGCTCAGAGAGCATTCAACCCCCACTCCTCCCCAGGTCACATTGCCAAACACCTTCAGTGGCAATTCATGGGTCCTCAGAAAAGCATCACTCTCATTCCTGGTCTCCCTCCCTCCACTGCTCTCCTCTACAATCCCACCTCAGGTGATCCTCCCGCCTCGGCCTCCCAAAGTGCTGGCATTATAGGCATGAGCCACCGTGCCTAGCCCGGAATCTGCTTTTAACACCATCTTCAGGAAATCTGTATGAAGTTACGGTTTGAGAAGTACTGAACTAAGCAGACAGCCAAGTAAGAGCCCCTCCTGTCCAGGTCTAAGGGTAGTTCCGATTCCCTGACCAGCAAATCTTGAGTAGCTGCCTCCCAGTAGCTGCCTCCCAGTCACTCTCTACCACACCACCCTATTTCCTTCATGTAATTTAGCATAACCTCTAATTTCTAGTTTACTGCCTGTCTCCCCAAACTATAATATAAACTACGAAGAGGTACCTCATCTGTCAAGTTTAGTGCTGTATCCACTGGGTCCACAACTAGGCACATTACACAGAGGGTACTCGATCCTGCATTTCACTGACTTAAATACTTTCAAGTGTTATACATCATGCTTTTGTTTGTTTGTTTGTTTGTTTATTTTGAGACAGAGTCTGGCTCTGTCGCCCAGGCTGGAGTGCAGTGGCATCATCTTGGCTCACTACAGCCTCTGTCTCCTAGGTTCAAGCGATCCTCCTGCCTCAGTCTCCTGAGTGGCTGGGACTATAGGCGTGCACCACCATGCCCGGCTAATTTTTGTATTTTTAGGAGAGATGACATTTCACCATGTTGGTCCGGCTGGTCTCAAACTCCTGACCTCAAGTGATCCATCTGCCTCGGCCTCCCAAAGTGCTGGGATTGCAGGTGTGAGCCACAGCACCCGGCCAAACCATGATACAATGCTTTCTTAACACTTCAATTTTTATTTTATGCTAATTGAAGTCTCTTTCAGACCATTAAAAAATCTAATTCTGGTGCGTACACAAAAACAAAAATAATATGGTTAAAATATTCCAAAAAAATCTTTAAAGTCTGACTCTTCTGAATCACTTTCTATCAGTGCCTGTGTTGCTGTCCCCTCTACTGTCGAGGGCATTGGAGAAGCGGAATTTCTTTAAAAAGTGCTCCACTACTGTCTCCGAGATTTTCTTCTAAGCTAGTGACACATTCTTGTTTTACCAAATAGTGTCAACAAAATTGATGTCTTCACTAACAAATTTTCGCTCCACTACTTTATTTCTATGCTTAATACATCATTTCCTTTTGATTTCTGTTTTAAAGCATGTTATCTTTTTGAAGATTTTTTTTCTTAATAGCATTTATTTATTTATTTATTTATTTATTTATTTAGAGACACGCTTGCTGTCACCGAGGCTGGAGTGCAGTGGTGTTATCTCGGCTCACTGCAACCTCCGCCTCCTGGGTTCAAGCAATTCTCCTGCCTCAACCTCCGGAGTAACTGGGATTACAGGTGTACGTCACCATGCCTGGCTAATTTTTGTATTTGTAGTAGAGATGAGGTTTCGCCATGTTGTGCAGCCTGGTCTCAAACTCCTGACCTCAAGTGATCTGCCCGCCCCGGCCTCCCAAAGTGCTGGGATTACAGGCATGAGCCACCGCACCCGGCTGAATAGCCTTTATTTTTTAAAAGCAGTTTTAGGTTCACAGCAAAATTGAGCAGAAAGTACAGAGTTTTCTTTTCTTCTTCTTCTTTTTTTTTTTTTTTTTTTTTTTTTGTAGTTTTAGTAGAGATGGGGTTTCACCATGTTGCCCAGGCTGGCCTTGAACTCCTGACCTGAAGTGATCCGCCCGCCTCGGCCTCTCAAAGTGCTGGGATTACAGGCATGAGCCACTGTGCCTAGCCGAAAGTATAGTGTTTTCTTATACTCCTACCCCCACACATGCACAGCCTCCCCCACTATCAACATCCGGCACCAGAGTGATAGATTTGTTCCAATCAGTGAACTACATTGACACGTCATTATCAGCCAAAGTCCATCGCATAGTGTACATTAGGATTCGCTCTTGGTGTTGCACGTTCCATGGGTTTAGACAAATATATAATGACGCACCAGTATATATATAGTATCATACAAAGAAGTTTCACTGCCCTAAAATCCTCTGTGCTCTGTTTATTCCTCCTTCCCCTCCCTACCAACCCCTGGCTGCCACTGACCTTTTCACTGTCTTCAGAGTTCTGTTTTTTTCCAGAAAGTCATATACTTGTAGCCTTTTACTTTTTTTTTTTTTTCTCCCTTAAGATGGAGTTTCTTTCGCTCTTGTTGCCCAGGCTGGAGTGCAATGGCAAGATCTTGGCTCACCACAACCTCCGCCTCCCAGGTTCAAGTGATTCTCCTGCCCCAGCCTCCCAAGTATCTGGGATTACAGGCATGCACCACCATGCCCAGCTAATTTTGTATTTTTAGTAGAGTCTGGGTTTCTCCATGTTGAGGCTGGTCTCGAACTCCTGACCTCAGGTGATCCACCACCCTCAGCCTCCCAAAGTGCTGGGATTACAGGCGTGAGCCACCACGCCCGGCGGTTTTGGTTTATTATTATTATTATTATTTATTTATTTTTTTTAATAGAGACAGGGTTTCACCATGTTGTCCAGGCTAGTGTTGAACTCTTGGGCTCAAGGGATCTACCCACCTCAGCCTCCTAAAGTGCTGGGATTACAGGTGTGAGCCACCACACCTGGCCTTTTGTTTGTTTTTGTTAGAGACAGGGTCTTGCTCTGTCACCCAGGTTGGAGTGCAGTGGCACAATCACAGCTCACTGTAACTTGCAACTCCTGCCCTCAAGCAATCCTCCCGCTTCACCCTCCCAAAGCACTAGGATTACAGGCATGAGCCACCATGCCCAGCCCTACTGGAGCTTTGTAGTAAGTCTTGATGCTGGGTCGTGTCAATCTTCCAACTTTGCTCTCTTTCAATATTGTGTTGGCTATTCTGGGTCTTTCGCCCCTCCAGACAAACTTTAGAATCAGTTTGTAAATATCCATGAAATGGTTTTCTGGCATTTTGATTGGGATTGTGTTGAAGATACAGATCAATTTGGAAAGAACTGACATCTTGACAATGTTGAGTGTTCCTATATATGAACATGGACTCTCTCCATTTATTTATATCTTCTTCGATGTCTTTCATCAGAGTTTTGTAGTTTTCTTCATGTAGATCTTATACGTATTTTGTTAGATTTATATGTAAGTATTTAATTTGGGACAGTGCTAATGTAATTGGTACTGTGTGTTATTTGAAGACATTATAAACAGCAATTCAACTCAAGAAGTGTAGTACCAGTAGGGTTCACAACTCAGCTGAGGTGATAACAATACGAACAGCTACGACTGGGTTCTCACAAGTGTAGGCAAAACCTACCATGTTGTATGACACCATGGATTGTACAATATATCCTAATTTTGGGAAAAATAAAATGTGCTAAAACACGTGACTTAGAATTGATTGGCCAGGTGCAGTGGCTCACACCTGTAATCCCAGCACTTTGGGAGGCCGAGGCGGGCAGATCACTGGAGGCCAGAAGTTCGAGACCAGCCTGGCCAACATGGTGAAACCCCATCTCTACTAAAAATACAAAAAATTAGCCAGGCGTGGTGACACATGGCTGTAGTCCCAACTACTCAGGAGGCTGAGGTTTTAGTGAGCCAAGATCACACCACTGCTGTACTATAGCCTGCGTGACAGAGTAAGATTCTGTATCAAAAAAAAAATTTGAAATATGCTAAATATTTAACAAATAGGCCAAGCAGGTGGCTCACACCTGTAATCACAACACTTTGGGAGACCGAGGTGGGTGTATCACCTGAGGTCAGGAGTTCGAGACCAGCCTGACCAACACGATGAAACCCCATCTCTACTAAAAATACAAAAAATTAGCTGGGCTTGGTGATGCGCGCCTGTAATCCCAGCTACTTGGGAGGCTGAGGCAGGAGAATCACTTGAATTCGGGAGGTGGAGGTTGCAGTGAGCCCAGATTGCACCACTGCACTCCAGCCTGGGAGTGAGACTCTGTCTCAAAAAAAAAAAAAGAAAAGAAAAGAAATAAACGTCACTGACTCAATTTCACAGTATTCTCATAACCAATTTAAAGTCTAGAAACCACTGGAAAATTTTCCATTTTTCCCAGTTTATATCCTAGGAGAAAGCAAATCTAATTGGCCTGGACACTCAGCTTATGGTACAGTTTACAAATTTCTGGTAACTTCCACTGCTTTAAACGAAGACTGAAATTACCAATGTCTCAAATAGAGTAGAAGTTTATTTCTTGCTCACAAAATAGTAACGAGGCTGCCGGGCCCGGTGCTTCACGCCTGTAATCCCAGCACTTTTTGGGAGGCCGAGGGGAGTGGGTCATTTGAGGTCAGGAGTTCGAGACCAGCCTGGCCAACATGGTGAAACCCCGTCTCTACTAAAAATACACAAATTAGCCAGGTGTGGTGGTGCCCACCTGCAATCCCAGCTAGTTGGGAGGCTGAGGCAGGAGAATTGCTTGAACCCAGGAGGCAGAGATTGCAGTGAGCCAAGGTCGCACCACTGCACTCCAGCCTGGGCAACAGAGCGAGACTCCGTCTCACAAAATAAATAAATAAATAAATAGTAAGGAGGCAGGTGGCCCACAGCGGCACTCCTGCTCTTCTAGGTTGTTCGGGAGCCCAGAATCCTGATATTGTTGTTCCACCATCTCTAAGGGTTGTCCTCACCAAAGAGTCCAAACGGTTCAACTCCTGGCCTACATTCCAGCCAGCAGGATGAGGAAAGGGAAGCTCATTCCTTAAAGTCTACCACCAAAGTTGATTGTTGCAGCCATTAAAAAAGAACAAATTCATGTCCTTTGCAGCAATATGGATACAGCTGGAGGCCATTATTCTAAGCCAATTAACACACGAACTGAAAACCAAATATTGCATGTTCTCACTTACAAGTGGGAGCTAAGCACTGGGTGCACATGGACATAAGGATGTAAACAATTGACACTGGGGCCTCCAGAGGGGAAGGGAGAGAGTGGGGAAAGGGTTGAAAAAACTACTGGGTTCTGGCCGGGTGCGGTGGCTCATGCCTGTAATCCCAGCACTTTGGGAGGCTGAGGCGGGTGGATCACCTGAGGTCAGGAGTTTGAGACCAGCCTAGTCAACATGGTGAAACGCCATCTCTACTAAAAATACCAAAATTAGTCAGATGTGGTGGCATGCGCCTGTAATCTCAGCTACTTGGGAGGCTGAGGCAGGAGAATCGCTTGAACCCAGGAGGCCGAGGTTGCAGTGAGCCGAGATCGTGCCACTGCACTCCAGCCTGGGTGACAAAGTGAGACGCTGTCTCAAAAAAACAAAAAACCAAAAAAACTACTGGGTCCTATGCTCAGTACCTGGGTGACAGGATTAATCATGTTCCTAAACCTCAACATCACACAATATACCCTTATGACAAACCTGCACATGTACCCCCAAATCTAAAATAAAAGCTGAAATTATAAATAAATTGAATACTTTGTTGTGGGGATCTCATAAAACTTACAGAAAACATCTGCATTATGCCTTAAAACCAACATTGCAGTAAGGTAAGATCAACTAGCAGCATTCTCACAAAAAGGAAACAAAGTTGATCAAATCATTTACACTCCTTCCCATAAGCCATAACTATGTGACAACGCATGGCCACAGCTACAAAAGAAGTTAGAAAAAATAGGGTTTTTTTGTTGTTGTTGTTGTTTTGACACGGGGTCTCGCTCTGTCGCCCAGGCTAGAGTGCATGCAGTGGCATGATCTCAGCTCATTGCAACCTCCGCCTCCCAGGTTCAAGCGATTCTCCTGCCTCAGCCTCCGGAGTAGCTGGGATTACAGGCATGTGCCACTACGCCCGGCTAATTTTGTATTTTTATAGAGATGGGGTTTCTCCATATTGGTCAGGCTGGCCTCAAACTCCCAACCTCAGGTGATCCACCTGCCTTGGCCTCCCAAAGTGCTGGGATTACAGACGTGAGACACCACGCCTGGCTAATTTTTGTATTTTTAGTAGAGATGAGGTTTCACCATGTTGGCCAGGCTGGTCTCAAACTCCTGACCTCAGGTGATCCACCCGCCTCAGCCTCCCGAAGTGCTGGGATTACAGGCGTGAGCCACCGGGCTTGGCCGAAAATATAGTCTCTAGCTTAGCAGCCATGTGCCTTTAGCAGCAGACTACAAAGTCTGCTACTATAATAAAAGCAGAAGACTGGGACTAACTCACTATCTCTGTCACATACTAGGTCAAGCATGTGCTACTCAGCTATGGGCAGTGAGTACGGAGCCACAGAGTTTAGACAGATTCCCTGGAGAGGATATTCGCTGGATGCCTCCCCATCATTCATTCTGTCTTTCCTCCTTCCTAATACTGCCCTTAATTTCCCAGCCTGGTGGCTTAGACAGAATTGACAACACCCCCTGTGCTGGAATGCCTCCATGTGAAGAAGGACATGTTTGCTTCCCCTTCCGCCATGATTGTAAGTTTCCTAAGGCCTCCCCAGCCATGCTAAACTGTGAGTCAATTAAACCTCTTTCCTCTATAAAGTACCAGTCTCGGGTATGTCTTTATTAGCAGCGTGAGAACAGACTCATACAGCATGTTCTACCCTCTGGCCACAGTGATCCGTGTAAGGGACAGACATAGAACCCAGTCTGCACCAAGGAGAAATTTTCTGGGGTAAATGGGAAAGAAACTTCCTCTCTACTCAGGGAAAGCTATGCGAGGAGATTCTCTTCCTCCTGGTGGTAGGGTGTAAAGACATAAGGTCTGAACTGCTGCAGCTAATACTACTGTCAGGAGGAAGATCCCACTTAAGGAGGAAGTCAAAGCCAAAAAAAGGAACAGCAGAGAGAATGGCAGAGAAACAAGAACACTGATGACATCCTGAACTTCTGGACCAAACTGCACCTGCAGTTAGTCCTACTTCAGTCCTACTGGATGTTTTGATTGCTTGAACCAATAAATTCCCTTTTTGTTGCAATAGAGTTGGGTTTTCTGTTACCTGGTATAGTTCCTTACAATGGACCCAGAGTATGGCAAGCAATAATGACATATTTAATAGTATTAATATCATTTTTAGAATTTACATTATACAGCTGCCCTTTAAAAGAATTTTTTTTTTTTTTTTTTTTTTTGAGACAGAGTTTTGCTCTTGCCCAGGCTGGAGTGCAATGGCGCGATCTTGGCTCACTGCAATCTCCACCTCCCAGGTTCAAGCGATTCTCCTGCCTCAGCCTTCCCAAGTAGCTGGGATTACAGGCATGCGCTACCAAGTCCAGCTAATTTTGTATTTTTAGTAGAGATGGGGTTTCTCCATGTGGGTCCGGCTGGTCTCAAACTCCCGACCTCAGGTGAGCCGCCTACCTCGGCCTCCCAAAGTGCTGGGATTACAGGCGTGAGCCACCACGCCCGGCCACTTCAAAAGAAATTTTTACGGGGCTAGGTGCAGTGGCTCACGCCTGTAATCCCAACACTTTGGGAAGCCTATGTGTGCAGATTTCTTGAGCCCAGGAGTTCAAGACCACTTGGGCAACAAAATGAAACCCCATTTCTACAAAAAATACAAAATGATGGCTGGGCTCGGTGGCTCACACTTGTAATCCCAGCACTTTCGGAGGCCGAAGTGGGCGGATCACCTGAGGTCGGGAGTTTGAGACCAGCCTGACCAACATGGAGAAACCCTGTCTCTACTAAAAATACAAAATTAGCCGGGCGTGGTGGCACATGCCTGTAATCCTAGCTACTAGGGAGGCTGAGGCAGGAGAATCGCTTGAACCTGGGAGGCAGAAGTTGCAGTAAGCTGAGATTGCGCCATTGCACTCCAGCCTGGGCAACAAGAGTGAAACTCTGTCTCAAAAAAAATATATATATATATATTTACATATATACACACAAAAAGATTAGACAAGCATGGTGGGTGGTGAACATCTGTAGTCCCAGTTACTTGGCAGGCTGAGGCAGGACGATCACTTGAGCCCAGGAGATAGAGTTTGCAGTGAGCCAAGATCATGCCACTGCACACCAGTCTGGACAACAGAGTGAGACACTGTCTTTAAAAAAAAATGAGACTGGGCACAATGGCTCTGGCCGGGTTGTGGTGGCTCATACCTGTAATCCCAGCACTTTGGGAGGCCAAGACAGGTGGATCACTTGAGGTCAGGAGTTCAAGACCACCCTCCAACATGGTGAAACTTAGTCTCTACTAAAAATATAAAAATTAGCCAGGCCTGGTGGCCCATGCTTGTAATCCCAGCTACTTGGGGGGCTAAGGCAGGAGAATCGCTTGAACTCAGAAGGCTGAGGTTGCAGAGTCAAGATGACGCCACTGCACTCCAGCCTGCATGACAGAGCAAGACTCTGACTCAAAACAAAAGAGAAGAAAAATATTTTTTTCCAAAATGTGCATCCAGTTTTGTAACCAGATATATGAAATTTATTTAGACTTACGTCAAGACTTCCCCATTTTGGGGTTTTTATTTTACTTCATCTCTTGGTGAGTCAACACAATTTCTCTAAAAAAAAGGAGCCAAAGTGTTATTTTGAAATCCAAACATTCTCAGAAATGCAATTGTGTTGCCCTTAACATACAAAATGCAACTTAGACATGTATATGATAGTTCTACCTTTTTTGGTGGACACAGCTGCCTTACTCCTTTGTCCTCTGACATTCAGTATTTCAGAGAAGACTCTGGCCACACCAACTATTGTTTCTTTCTAAGTAGCCTTTTTAAATTCTGCCTAGATGTATCCTTTAATTCAGATATTTTGTCAGGATGAATCTATGGTCAGCTGACTTTTAATATTTTACCTGCCGTGCAGTATAACTTTCAACCCACTGACCTGAGTGGATCTATCTGCGCTCAGTGACGTCTTCTCCTAGTGCAGATGTTTTAACTGTGGTGTCACTTCCACCAGTTCTATTCTTGTTCTTAGGAGAAGCCAGTTTCCTGAATTTTTTTTTTTTTTTTTTTGAGCCAGAGTCTCACTCTGTCACCCAGGCTGAAGCGCAATGGCGTGATCTTGGCTCACTGCAATCTCCACCTCCCGGGTTCAAGCGATTCTCCTGCCTAAACCTCCTGAGTAGCGGGGATTACAGGCACCCGCCACCATGCCCAGCTAATTTTTGTATTTTTAGTAGAGACGGGGTTTCCCCATGTTGGTCAGGCTGGTCTCGAATTCCTGACCTCAGGTGATCTGCCCGCCTCGGCCTCCCAAAGTGCTGGGATTACAAGCGTGACCCACTGAGCCTGGACCTTTTTTTTTTTTTTTTTTTTGAGATGGAGTCTTGCTCTGTTGCCCATACTGGGGTGCAATGGTGCGATCTCGGCTCACTGCAACCCCCACCTCCCGGGTTCAAGCGATTCTCCTGCCTCAGCCTCCTGAGTAGCTGGGATTACAGGTGCCTGCCATCACACTTGTCTAATTTTTGTATTTTTTGTGAAGATGGGGTTTCGCCATGTTGGCCAGGCTGGTCTCAAACTCCTGACCTCAGGTGATTCACCGAGCTTGGCCTCCCAAAGTGCTGGGATTACAGGCGTGAGCCACCGCGCCCGGCCAGCCTTTTCTTTCTTAAGTTATTCTGTTCCTAGTTCCAGGAGAATTCTAGTGATGTCATCAAAAATCTTCCTGGAAATCTCTTCCAAATCCTATAGTAAATGTTCCTCCAGAGGATTCTGTTTCTTTCAGTCTTCAGGTTGATTTGCCCTTCCCTGGTTTTGAGAAAATTTTTCAGAATCCCTATAATGTTTTGTTAACATTATTAACATTATTTCATTCATCCAGAATTGTATAAAAATAATGTAATGAATGCCTGTGGACCACCCCACCCACACAACTATTTTTTTTCTCTTTATTCATCCTCAAAACAGACACCATTTGGCTGGCCGCAGTGGCTCACACCTGTAATCCCAGCATTTTGGGAGACCGAGGTGGGTGGATCACCTGAGATCAGGAGTTCGAGAGCAGCCTGGCCAACATGGAGAAACCCTGTCTTCATCTCCACAAAAAATACAAAAATGAGCCAAGCGTGGTGGCGGGCACCTGTAATCCCAACTACTTGAGTCTCCTGAACCCGGGAGGCGGAGGTGGCGGTGAGCCGAGATCACGCCACTGCACTGCAGCCTGGGCAATAAGAGTGAAACTCTGTTTAAAAAAAAATAAAAAAGAGGCACCATCTCTCAGAATCAGCTTGAGCAACTTGTAGACAAATAGGTGGCCAGCTCTTGGCCCTGCTCTCTGTCCATCAGATCAATGGCTGAATCCCCTCTTCAGGTCCACGGTTGGAAGGGCCACTATTCGGGATATGACAGTTGCTCTGGTAGTTCAACATTAGTGCTGGTGACAACCTCTCATCGGCCACCTCCTGAGGAACCAGAGTTTTCCAGTGCCTGTGCTTCTCCCTCTGGCGCTGTTTCAGAGTAACTATTCTCCATACACTTCTCTTGCTGTGACTTCTGCTTATTTCTGGTGTCAGTTGCCTCTGGCTTTTGATTGCTTCTTTCTTGCATACAACTCTCAGTTTGAAGCCACCCCACTCTCTGATGACTGTCTCAGCTTGTCTCACAGACACATTTCCCAATCATGAAGATCCAGTCGGTGGATTGGTCATTATCCAGTCAGTGTACCTCTGTTGGATGGAGTTCTCACCTCGAGAGACCTCACAGGTCGCTGGCTACATGTCTGCCTTTGGGTCAGCTACTTGTTCCTCAATCAACCAGCCCTGGCCTAGATAAGGGGGTCTGTGTTAGGAACTTGTTACTGGGCAACAAACCATCCCCCTCGACGAAGTCTTAGTGTCAAATAAATATAAGCATTTATTTCACTGATACACACATAGGAGTTGGCTGGGGGTCAGGTGATCTAGGGTGGGATCCAATGTGACCCTTTTCCTTGTATCTTTTTTTTTTTTTTCTAGATGGAGTCTTCCTCTGTCACCCAGGCTGGAGTCCAGTGGTGCAATCTCGGCTCACTGCAACCTCCATCTCCCGGGTTCAAGCAATTCTCCTGCCTCAGCCTCCCGACTAGCTGGGATTACAGGTGCCTGCCACCACACCCAGCTAATTTTTTTTGTATTTTTAGTAGAGACAGGGTTTCACCACGGTAGCCAGGATGGTCTCGATCTCCTGACCTCATGATCTGCCCACCTTGTCCTCCCAAAGTGCTGGGATTACAGGCGTGAGCTACTGCGCCCGGCCAAAAGAAATTTTTTAAATTAGTTGAGTGTGGTGGTGTGGGCCTGTAATCCTGGCTACTAAGGAAGCTGAAGTGGGAAGACAGCTTGAGCTAGGAGGTCATAGCTGCAGCGAGCCATGATTATCTTACCATGGCACTCTAGTCTGAGTGACAGAGACCCTGTCTCAAAAAAAAAAAAAAAAGGATAATGTAAAATCTTTAAAGAAAAGGGACAGAGGCTGGGCGCAGTGGTTCATGCCTGTAATCCCAGCGTTTTCGGAGGCCGAGGCGGGGATCATCTGAGGTCGGGAGTTCGAGACTAGCCTGGCCAACATGGAGAAACCCCGTCTCTACTAAAAATACAAAATTAGCTGGGCGTGGTGTCGCATGCCTATAATCCCAGCTACTCGGGAGGCTGAGGCAGGAGAATTGCTTGAACTTGGGAGGTGGAGGTTGCAGTGAGCCATGATCGCACCACTGCACTCCAGCCTGGGCAACAAGAGCAAAACTCTGTCTCAAAAAACAAAAAAGAAGAGGAACAGAAAACATCAGAAGCAATATGGAAATGTTGTTTAAAGCATTAAACATGCCAACAGAAGCAAAACCAAATGTATCAGTCATCATAATTACCTATGAGTCAGAGACAAATAGTTGGGGAGGTTCAAAGTATTTTCTTTTTCAGGCATCCTCTGATTCAAGAGGTAAATTCTCCATGTATTTTTCTCAATCCAGTTCCTCTGTCTTATAAATAGCAGAGATTCTGGCTTTTCTCCATTTTCCACATTTCTGTAGTGGTCTGAGTGGGCCGCAAGGAGGGGCTGCATCAGGGGCCACTGGCTGGTGACACTTTCCAGGTGACAGCCTCATTGCATACCCTCTGAAGCCCTGCAGCCCTTCCTGCTACCCTCATCTCTTCATGGCACTCCCACATCCTACTTGAGCTAGGGCTCATTCTGTGGGGGCCTTCACTCTCCTGTTTGCTTCTGAGACCCAGGAGGCAGAGGTTGCAGTGAGCCGAGATCACACCACTAAACTCCAGCCTGGGTGACAGAGCAAGACTCCATCTCAAAAAAAAAACAACAAAAAACCATTAGCCAGGTGTGGTGGCACACACCTATAGTCCTAGCTACTCGGGAGGCTGAGGTGGGAGGATCACTTGAGCCCAGGTGGTCAGGGCTGCAGGGAGCCATGATCCACTCCACACCAGCCTGGGCAACAAAGGGAGACCCTGGTCTCAAAAACATTTTTTTAATTAAAAAAAAAAGAAGTCGACTGGGTGGCTTGGCTCATGCTTGTAATCCCAGCACTTTGGGAGGCTGAGGCAGGTGGATCATTTGAGGTGAGGAGTTTGAGACCAGCCTGGCCAACATGGTGAAACCCCGTCTCTACTAAAAATACAAAAATTAGCTGGGTGTGGTGGTGGGCGCCTGTAATCCCAGCTACTTGGGAGGCTGAGGCAGGAGAATCGCTTGAACCCAGGAGGCGGAGGTTGCAGTGAGCCAAGATCACGCCACTGCTCTCCAGCCTGGGCGGCAGAGTGAGACTCCGTCTCAAAAAAAAAAGAAGTTATCAAGGAAACTGCAGCACCCCAACAAAAACAGAACTTCTTTGACCTCAGAATGGAAAAATGGCAGAAGCTGATTCTCACAGAGTTGGCTCAGATCGCATGGCTGTTGCTAAATCAAACACCGAGGCTAGCAGGATAGAACGCTCTCATCAATGAGGCCTAGGTCCCGAGCCCACCCTGAGAGACAGGCAGTGGCCTCAAGAGGAGGAGACATCAATAATCAAATACCAGGAAGACGAAATGCAAGGACAATAAGAGCCCACAATCACCTCTTTAATTTCTCCCTGGGAAGAATGCTGCCTGAGAGGCTGGCAGAAACGAAGAGGCCACCACACATCTGCTCTGTGCTTCCTAGTTTACAAAATACTTCTCAGGTTGTCCCATTTAATCCTCACAAGTAGCCCACAAGGCAAGTGGCATCACTTATTTATTTATCTATTTATTTATTTATTTATTTATTTACTTTTTGAGACAGAGTTTCATTCTTGTCACTTTATTTACTTATTTATTTATTTTTCGAGACAGAGTTTCACTCTTGTCACCCAGGCTGGAGTGCAATGGCACAATCTCAGCTCACTGCAACCTCCACCTTCCAGGTTCAAGTGATCCTCCTGCTTCAGCCTCTCGAATAGCTGGGATTACAGGTGCCCGCCACCATGCACAGATAACTTTTGCATTTTTAGTAGTGACGGGGTTTCACCACGTTGGCCAGGCTGGTCTCAAACTCCTGACCTCAGGTGATCCACCCTCCTCGGCCTCCCAAAGTGCTGGGATTACAGGTGTGAGCCACCGTGCCCAGACACAAGTGGCAACTGAGACTTAAGAGACATGAAGGGGCTTGGCTAAGTTGCAAAGCAGGTATGGAACCAACAGAGGGGCTGTGGAGCTGTGCAGAAAAAACAGGAAGGCACTAACCCAGGGTAATGTGTCCATAGCCCCCACCTTGTCCAGCACCACATCCTCCCTTCACCTCAGGGCTGCAGCTCCTCCGCCTCTGCCTCCTCAGGGCCCACATCCTGTGCCTCTCTCCCTTATCATTCTGATCCTGCCAGTTTCTGCCACGCCTCTGTCTGAACTTTGCTCCGTGCTCCAGGCTTGTTTTCCTCTGGACCTGGGAACCACTGGCTTACTTTCACTCACCGCCTGTCCTTCCTGACACCTCACCATGTGTACGGGAAAATGTGCCCGCTGTGTGGGGCTCTCCCTCATTACCCTCTGCCTCGTCTGCATTGTGGCCAACGCCCTCCTGCTGGTACCTAATGGGGAGACCTCCTGGACCAACACCAACCATCTCAGCTTGCAAGTCTGGCTCATGGGCGGCTTCATTGGCGGGGGCCTAATGGTGAGAAGGCTGGCAGGGGAGCCCGGGCCAGCTGGCTGGGTGCCACCTAAGGGGTTCTGAACAGGAGGGAGAGGGAGAGAGGAATAAGAATGGTTGCTTGGGAGAGGATGGCAATGGCTTCGTGGGGGCTAGCAGCCCTCTGGAGTCAGTCCTGGAGGAGCCCCAGGGTCCCAAGCTGAATGTCTGTGGGGCACAGAAAGGACGAGAGCCTCACTGCTCTAAAGAGCTCCCCTACCGGGTAGGGAGCATGTCCTGCCTGTCCTCCCTGTCCCCACTGTTGAGCAGATGCTGGGAAAACCTCACTACAATGGTCGAGGCAGAAGGAGCAGCTGGTTGTCAGAGACGTCATCGGGGCAGGATAATAACAGGCATGAGGGTGGGGCGCAGTGAAATTACCCAGAGCCAGGGACTGCCCTCACGGATCAGTCACCCTCGCTTGCCTCCACGTCCATTCACTCTCACCCCACATTTCTGGAAGCCCAATCTGTGCGGACTGCTAAGGATAAACTCAGAACTTAGGTCAGTATGGCAGGGAGGATGCCCTCAAGTCGTCTTCCGGGAGATGAGAATCTATTTGCCAGGGGCGGAGGTGGGGGTTGGTTTTTGTGTTTGTTTTTTGTTTTTTTTTTTTTTTGAGACAGGGTCTCTCTCTGTTGCCCAGGCTGGAGTGTGGTGGTGCGAACATGGCTCACTGTAGCCCCAACCTCCTGGGCCCAAGCAGTCCTCCCACCTCAGCCTCCGAGCAGCTGGAACCACAGGTGGGCATCACCACACCCAGCTAACTTTTAAATATTTTATTTATTTTTATTATTATTATTTTTTTGAGACGGAGTCTCGCTCTGTCGCCCAGGCTGGAGTGCAGTGGCGCCATCTCCGTTCACTGCAACCTCTGTCTCCTGGGTTTAAGCAATTCTCCTGCCTCAGCCTCCTGAGTAGCTGGGATTACGGTCACGTGCCACCACACCCAGCTAATTTTTGCATTTTCAGTAGAGACAGGGTTTCGCCACGTTGGCTAGGCTGGTCTCGAACTCCTGACCTCAGGTGATCCGCCCCCCTCGGCCTCCCAAAGTGCTGGGATTACAGATGTGAGCCACCGCCCCAGCTTACATTTTTTGTAGAGACGGAGTATCTCTGTGTTGCCCAGACTGGTCTCAAACTCCTGGATTCAAGTGATCCTCCTGCCTCAGCCTCCCAAAGTGCTAGAATTATAGATGTGAGCCACCACGCCTGGCCAAGACTAGGATCTGTCAGAAGTGGAGGAAAAGGAGACACAGATTTCCCCAATTTACTAACCCCCATCTTCCAACTCTCCACCCATTCAGGGAAACTTTGGGATGGTCAACCTCGTTTAATATCTTCATGCGATAAAGACAAAAGATCTACCCAGCACAGTTCCCCACTTCTCAGGACAGTTGGCTAATGACATTCTCCAGGGGAGAGCTCCCCTTGGTCCCTTTTGCTGGTCACACCTCGCTGGTCACACCTCTATTTGCTAAAAGAGGATACCTCTCCTTTAACCAACAATCCCCTCTTACTCTCTAGTATCTTTTCTTCTACTCCCTCCTCCTGCATGGATTCTTGGCTGCTGTACTCTACTCTATCGCTCTAAACTCAACTCTCTTTGAGAGTCACACTCCTCTCAGGCTGACACACTTAGCCATTGTCACGGGGTGCTCCCTCTGCAACCTGAACCACCCCTGTCTCCCCACACTCCTCTGCCCCATCTAACCAGCTTGCTTCAGCGGAGCTCCCTGAGTCTGCCTTCCCCAAATATGCATTCACAGCTGCCTTCCCTCCACCTCTGTGCCCAGAGTCACTCTCAAGAAGCACCACCCGGTGGGCATGGTGGCTTACGCCTGTAATCCCAACACTTTGGGAGGCCGAGGCGGGCCAATCACCTGAGGTCAGGAGTTCAAGACCAGCCTGGCCAACATGGTGAAACCCCGTCTCTACTTAAAGAAATATACAAAAATTAGCCAGGCATAGTGGCGGGCGCCTGTAATCCCAGCTACTCGGGAGACTGAGGCAGGAGAACCCGGGAGGCAGAGGTTGCAGTGAGGCGAGATTGCGCCATTGTGCTCCAGCCTGGGCGACAGAGCAAGACTCCATCTCATACATAAATAAACAAATAAATAAGCACTGCTGTATATCACAGGGACACAGACAGGTTCCTGCTCTCCCTGAAGCTTGTGTTCCCTTTGGTAAGGCCACCAGTCTCACGGAAGCAAGGCTGGAAGTCCCACGAGAGCAAGCACTGCCTGCTTTGTTGGCCACTATGTACCCAGTGCTAGACCAGCACCTTGCACTAAACAGACACCCAATTAATAGTCATGGAATGGCAGCGTGTGCCTGTAGTCCTAGTTTGGGCCCAGAAATGAAAGATTGCAGTGAGCTATGACCACGCGCCACTGCACTCCAGCCTGGGCAACAGAGCAAGACCTTGTCTCAAGAAAATAAAAAATAAAAAAGTCATTGAATGAAGTATAGAACTAGGCAAGGCAATTTCAGATAGAAGTAGGTACCATCGGCCGGGCGCAGTGGCTCATGCCTGTAATCCCAGCACTTTGGGAGGCTGAGGCAGGCGGATCACCGAGGTCAGGAGTTCACGACCAGCCTGACCAACATGCAGAAATCCTGTCTCTACTAAAAATACAAAAATTAGCCAGGCGTGGTGGCGCATGCCTGTAGTCCCAGCTACTCAGGAAGCTGAGGCAGGAGAATTGCTTGAACCCGAGAGGCGGAGGTTGCAGTGAACCAAGATTGCACCATTGTACTCCAGCCTGGGCAACAAGAGTGAAACTCTGTCTCAAAAGTAAAAAATAAAAATAAAATGAAATGGTGCTGGCATGAAGAGCTCCTAGGCAAAGCAGATGCCACTTTTTATAGGATTTTCAGGGACAGGCTCTATGAGGTGATGTCTGAACTGAGACCCAAATGACAAGAAGAAGGTGTGAGTGTTGCAGACACTAGGGGCTGGTAGTACAAAGCCTAAGGTGGGAACAAGCTCTACACTTCTGAGGATCAGACAGGTGGCCGGTGAGGTGAGATGTAATGAGATGAGGTCTGAGGAGGGCAGAGGCTAGGCCTGGAACACCCTGAAAAGCCACAGTGGAGTCATTTGAATTTTTATTATTATAAGTACAACAGAAAACTATTGAAGGACTTTTTTTTTTTTTTGAGACGGAATCTCACTGTGTCGCCCGGGCTGCAGTGCAGTGGTGCGATCTCGGTTCACTACAAGCTCCACCTCTTGGGTTCACGCCATTCTCCTGCCTCAGCCTCCCGAGTAGCTGGGACTACAGGCGCCCGCCACCACGCACAGCAAATTTTTTTTTTTTGTATTTTTAGTAGAGATGGGGTTTCACCGTGTTAGCCAGGATGGTCTCGATCTCCTGACCTTGTGATCCACCCGCCTCGGCCTCCTAAAGTGCTGGGATTACAGGAGTGAGCCACCGCGCCATGCCCTATTGAAGGACTT
Source organism: Homo sapiens (assembly GCF_000001405.40). Classification (NCBI taxonomy): domain Eukaryota; kingdom Metazoa; phylum Chordata; class Mammalia; order Primates; family Hominidae; genus Homo; species Homo sapiens. Next base: position 4,775,578 of record NC_000017.11, read on the forward strand.
TTGGCACTTTGTTTTTTGACGGTTTAAAACTTTTTATTTAAGTCACACAGACAAGTACCCAGATCCTTAGTACACAGCTCAACAAACTTTTACAAAGTGAGCACATCTGAGCCCAGGTCAAGAAACAGATCATTACCAGAAGCCCAGACATGCTTCTCACCACACACGGAACCCCAGAATCACTTCACCAACAAGCGTAACCACTATTCTGTCTTCTAACCCCATAGACGAGTTTGGCTTATTTTGCACTTTACACAAATGGAATGATAGAGTATGTGTCTGGCTTTTTTTTGAGACGGAGCTGTTGCCCAGGCTGGAGTGCAGTGGCGCTATCTCAGCTCACTGCAACCTCCGCCTCCCAGGTTCAAATGATTCTCATGCCTCAGCCTCCAGAGTAGCTGGGGTTACAGGCATGAGCCACCACGCCTGGCTAATTTTTGTATTTACTTTAGTAGAGATGGGGGTTTCGCCATGTTGGTCAGGCTGGTCTCGCACTCCCGACCTCAGGTGATCCACCCACCTCGGCCTCCCCAAGTGCTGGGATTACGAGCGTGAGCCACCGCGCCTGGCCTGTGTCTGGCTTCTTTAGCTCCATATTACGTTTGTGAGAGCCACCCATATTATCAGGTGTAGCTGTAGTTTTCTTTTTTTCTTATACATTCTATTATGTGACTATACCTCATTTATACATTCTACTGTTTGTTTGTTTGTTTTTTTGCTTTTTTGCTTTTTTGTTTTTTTTGAAACAGAGTCTCGCTCTGTCACCCAGGCTGGAGTACAATGGCGCCATCTCGGCTCACTGCAACCTCTGACTCCCAGGTTCACATGATTCTCCTGCCTCAGCCTCCTGAGTAGCTGGGATTACAGGCATGTGCCACCGTGCCCAGTTAATTTTTGTATTTTTAGTAGAGACGGGGTTTCGCGATATTGGTCAGGCTGGTTTTGAACTCCCAACCTTAGGTGATCCGCCTGCCTCGGCCTCCCAGAGTACTGGGATTACAGGCATAAGCCACTGTGCCCGGCCCATTCTACTGTTGAAGGAGATCTGGATCATTCCCAGTTTGGTTTTTTTGCAAATAATGCTGCTATAAATATTCTTGTAGATGTATTTAGGTACAAATACGTGTGCATTTCTATTGGATAAAAACCTAGCAGTAAAACTGCTGATTCTTAAGACATGCAAGTATTCAGCGCTAATAGATATTGCCAGTTTTCTGTAGTTCTTAGTGTGAGAGGTCTGGTTGCTCCACACGCCACTGGAATGAAGAAGACTCCTTTGACCACTGTGTGGAGAATGGGTAGTAGAAGGTCTGCAATATATACAGAAAAAGACCAAACTGAGCTGGGCGTGGGGCCTCAAGCCTGTAATCCCAGCACTTTTGGAGGCCGAGGCCAGCGGATCATGAGGTCAGGAGTTCGAGACCAGCCTGACCAACATGGCGAAACCCCGTCTCTACTAAAAATACAAAGTTAGCAGGGCATGGTGGTGCATGCCTGTAATCCCAGCTACTCGGAAGGCTGAGGCAGGAGAATCTCCTGAACCCAGCAGACAGAGGTTACAGTGAGCCGAGATCATGCCACTGCAATCCAGCCTGGGTGACAGAGCAAGACTCCATCTCAAAAAAAAAAAAAAAGAAAAAGAAAAGACCAAACTGAGGTCACGGAAGACATCCAGGAGAGATGAGAGTGGCTTGGACTAGGCCAGTGGCTATGGAAATGGAGAAATATGAGCTGATTCAGGCTATAAGCACAGTGTTTTCTTCTTCATTTATGATGACACTTTTCACTAAGACAAAAAGATGGTGAAGAATGAGACAGAGAAGCACATACTACAAAGGGAAGCAAACACTTTAATCAAAAGAGTAAAAATCTCAAATAGGGCCAGGTGTGGTGGCTCATGCCTGTAAAATCCCAACACTTTGGGAGGTGGAGGCAGGAGAATCGCTTGAGTCCCAGCATTCAAGACCAGCCTGGGCAACATAGTGAGACTCTATCTCAACAAAAATTTTAAAATTAGCTGGGTCTGGCCAGGTGCGGTGGCTCACACCTGTAATCCCAGCACTTTGGGAGGCCGAAGCAGGCTGATCAGCTGAGGTCAGGAGTTTGAGACCAGCCTGACCAACATGGAGAAACTTTGTCTCTACTAAAAATACAAAGTTAGCAGGGCGTGGTGGCGCATGCATGTAATCCCAGCTACTCGGGAGGCTGAGGCAGGAGAATCACCTGAACACGGGAGGCAGAGGTTACAGCGAGCCAAGATCGCGCCATTGCACTCCAGCCTGGGCAACAAGAGCAAAACTTCGTCTCAAAAAAGAAAAAATTAGCTGAGTGTGGTGGTACAAGCCTGTAATCCCAGCTACTCTAATGCTAAGGTGAGAGGATCACTTGAGCCCAGGAGGTCGAGGCTGCAGTGAGCCATGATCATGCCACTGCACTCCAGTCTGGGCAACAGTGTGAGACCCTCTCTCAAACAAAAGCAGAAACCTCAGACAAGTAGATCATTCAAAATTGGTAAATCCAAAAGGCAATTCTAGGTGTGTTTGGATCCACAAGCCTCCAGTAAGTGACCTAACCAGGGAGGTAAAGTAAGGTGTCAGCATGGGTCCTGGCCCTGCCATGAGACAGGAAGAAGAGAGAGCAGGTGTTTCTCTGAGGTTGCTGGGGATGATATAATAGAACTGAAACTCTCAGCCCTTTCCCTGGAGAAGCACAAAATGCTGCCTTGGATGGTATGTGCCAGATAAGACACATGAGGAGCCAGGCACAGTGGCTCATGCCTGTAATCCCAGCAATTTGGGAGGCTGAAGCAGGAGGATTGCTTGAGCCCAGGAGTTCGAGATCAGCTAGGCAACATGGTAAGACATGAACTCTCCAAAAAAATTAGCCAGGCATGTTGTTCCGCACCTTTAGTCCCAGCTACTCGGGAGGCCGAGGTGAGAAGATCATTTGAGCCCAGGAGGTTGAGGATGCAGTGAGCCATGATTGCACCACTGCATTCCAGCCTGGATGACAGAGTGAGATCCTGTCTCAAAAAGCAAACACACACACACACGAAAGCAAGAAGCAAGACAGCTGTGGAATTCCAGAGATAGGAGACAGGCAAAGAACCTGACCTGGTGCAACGAAGATAAAGGTAACGGAGCCAGATGAGGAGGCTTAAATGCCTTACAAGAGTTAGGCGTTCAAGTTACAAGTCTTGGCCAGGCGCGGTGGCTCACGCTTGTAATCCCAGCACTTTGGGAGGCTGAGGCAGGCGGATCACGAGGTCAGGAGATCAAGACCATTCTGGCCAACATGATGAAACCCCGTCTCTACTAAAAATACAAAAAATTAGCCCGGCGTGGTGGCATGTGCATGTAGTCCCAGCTACTCAGGAGGCTGAGGCAGGAGAATCACTTGAACCTGGGAGGTGGAGGTTGCAGTGAGCCAAGATCACACCACTGTACTCCAACCTGGTGACAGAGTGAGACTCCGTCTCAAAAAAAAAAAAAAAAAAAGAGTTCAGTCTTGATGGGCTTCTCTGTGAAGAGACCCTAAAGGATTTGAGCAGAGAAAAGACCAGTTGAAAGCTATGTTTAGGCCAGATGCAGTGACTTACACCTGTAATCCCAGCAATTTGGTAGGCCAGGGCAGGAGGAGCCCAGGAGTTCAAGACCAGCCTGAGCAAATAGCAAGACCCCATGTCTACAAAATTTTTTTTAATTAGCTGGGAATGATGACGCATGCCTGCGATACCAGCTACTCAGGAGGCTGAGGCAGGAGGATCACTTGAGCCCAGGAGGTCAAGGCTAAAGTCAGCCACGATCAAGCCACTGCATTCCAGCCTGGGTGGCAGAGTGAGACCCTGTTTCAAAAAGAAAGAAAGAAAAAAAAAAGCTATGTTTAACCTGATAGAGGATAGAGTGTAGGGTGGCATGGGGCAAGAGCTATGAGAGTGTAATAGGGAGGCTGAGAACACCCTCATGGGAGGTGATGAGGGATTCAATGTGGGGAGGAACTCACAGATTCAGGAGCCACTTAAGTAAAAGTTGAGAAAATTTGATGTCTTTCTGGGTGCAAGATTAAAGCTTTCCAGCCTGGCTGACCTAGTAGATGTTATTTTTTCCACTGATGGAGACAAGAAAGTCAAAGGGAGATGAATTTGAGGAATATTGTGAGATGAGCGTGAGGCTGGTTGAATTTGAGCTAAAACCAAGATATTCAAGTGAACATAGGATCTGGAGGCATCAGTTTTGGAGGCAACTTCTGGCAGAGTGAAGAGCTGATTCCCTGAAAGGGGATGGGCATTGTTAGGAAAGCCACAGGGAGAAAAAAAGACCAAGGCTTGAATCTTGGAAAATGCTACACTCCATATCAGACCATCCACTAGCACTCTTCCACACTCTACTGTAATCCCAATTCACCAGACACTCCAACACCTCTATCCCTTCCTGCTGCTGAGGGAACTTATAAATATTGAGTTACTCTGAGCTGGTCTTTTTTTTTTTTTTTTTTTGAGATGGAGTTTCGCTCTTATTGCCCGGGTTGGAGTACAGTGGCACGATCTCAGCTCACCACAACCTCCACCTCCCAGGTTCAAGTAATTCTCCTGCCTCAGCCCCCCGAGTAGCTGAGATTATAGGCATGCGCCACCACGCCCGGCTAATTTTGTATTTTTAGCAGAGTTGGGGTTTCTCCATGTTGGTCAGGCTGGTCTTGAACTTCCGACCTCAGGTGATCCACCAGCCTCAGCCTCTCAACATGCTGGGATTTCAGGCGTGAACCACCGCGCCCGGCCTCTGAGCCAGTCTTAACACCTAGTCAGCTTGTTCTCCCATTAAATCCTGAGAACAGACCTGTGAGGTAGATCTTCCAGACCCATTTTATACAGGCAAAACTGAGACCCTGAGAGATGAATCAATTCATAGCATGTGAAGTAGTTTCCCTGATTTCCATTCAGTAGGGCACCTACTATGTGCCAAGATTGGGGAAAATAATGATATTGGGCCCTACCCTCTAGAGGCCACAATCTGGACAGAGATAAGGTAGGCACGTAAATAAGGATAAAGTAAGGTGAAGCCCAGCAGCTCCAGGAGACGTAGAGATAAGGTCTTCTACAGTCCAAAGGGCTGAAGGCATCACAGGCAGCTTCCTGAAGGAGGTAGGCACTGATGCAAGTCAGGCCTGGAGGATCTGGGGGGACGTGCTATAACAATGACTCTTGTCCCACAGGTACTGTGTCCGGGGATTGCAGCCGTTCGGGCAGGGGGCAAGGGCTGCTGTGGTGCTGGGTGCTGTGGAAACCGCTGCAGGGTAAGATCCAGATTAAGAAGGAATTCAGGGCTGGGGGTGGTGTCTCATGCCTGTAATCCCAACACTTTAGCAGGCTGAGGTGGGAGTACGGCTTGAGCCAGGAGTTCTAGACCAGCCCAGGAAACATGGCAAGATCCCTATCTCTACTAACAATACAAAAATTAGCCGGGCGTGGTGGCAAGCACCTGCAATCTCGGCTACTTGGGAGGCTGAGGTGGGAGGGCCGCTTGAGCCCAGGAGGTCCAGGCTGCAGTAAGCAGTGATTTAAAAAAAAAAAAAAAAAAAAAAAAAGAAGAGAAAAGATACAGAAATTAGCCAGGCGTGGTGGCGGGCACCTGTAATCCCAGCTACTCAGGAGGCTGAGGCAGGAAAATCACTTGAACCCTGGAGGCAGAGGTTGCAATGGGCCGAGATCACACCATTGCACTCCAGCCTGGGCAACAAGAGTGAAACTCTGTCTCAAAAAAAAGAAAAGAAAAGATACAGAAATTAGCCTGGTGTGGTGGTGGGCGCCTGTAATCCCAGCTACTCAGGAGGCTGAGGCAGGAGATTACGGTGAGCCAAGATTGTGCCATTGCATTCCAGCCTGGGCAACAAGAGCAAAACTCCGCCTCAAAAAAAATGTATTTTTATTTTATTTTACATTTATTTATCTTATTTATTTTAGACATAGTCTTGGTCTGTCACCCAGGCTGGAGTACAGTGGCACGATCTTGGCTCACTGCAGCTTCCGCCTCCCTAGTTCAAGCCATTCTTGTTCTTCCAGCCTCCCAAGTAGCTGGGATTACAGGCGCCTGCCACCACACCCAGCTAATTTTTATATTTTTAGTAGAGACGGGGTTTCACTGTTGGCCAGAGTGGTCTGAAACTCCTGGCCTCAGGCGATCTGCCCCCCTTGGCCTCCCAAAGTGCTGGGATTACAGGTGTGAGATATCGTGCCCAGCCTCGAGTCAGGTTTAAAATAAATTTCCCTTCAAACCCCGGGCTTGCAGTTAGGCTAACCTGAAAGCCAGCGGCCGCCGAGATTCACTGGGGTTGTAGTTCCCCCCTCTCCCCTTCACCCGCCTACCCCTCAGGATCATTGAGATCTGAGATTTGTGGGTGCCAGGGAAGGGTGGGGTGGGGCCTGGGAGTCCGCAGAGGAGCTTGTGTAGCTAGGAATTCCATAGAGAGTGCTGTGGTTCTGCAAGGACAGGTGCAGAAACAGAGTCCGAATTTCTAATTTTTTTTTTTTTTTTTCTTTTTGAGACGGGGTCTGGCTCTGTCGCCCAGGCTGGAGTGCAGTGGTGCGATCTCGGCTCATTGCAACCTCCGCCTCCCATGTTCAAGCTATTCTCCTGCCTCAGCCTCGGGCATGTGCCACCACACCCGGCTAATTTTTGTATTTTCAGTAAAGACAAGGTTTCTCCATGTTGGCCAGGCTGGTCTTGAACTCTCGACCTCAGGAGATCCACCCGCCTCAGCCTCCCAAAGTGCTGAGATTACAGGGGTGAGCCACCGCGCCCGGCATTAAAAAATACATTTTAACAACCCGACTGGAGCAGATTTCGATAATGCGTGGGGGCTGGCGCTGAGCGTCGTCACCCACAGGTGGGGAGATTGGGCCTTACCTCCCCTTCCACACCACATCCAGATGCTGCGCTCGGTCTTCTCCTCGGCGTTCGGGGTGCTTGGTGCCATCTACTGCCTCTCGGTGTCTGGAGCTGGGCTCCGAAATGGACCCAGATGCTTAATGAACGGCGAGTGGGGCTACCACTTCGAAGACACCGCGTAAGGTTTAGCCTGTATTCGTGTCCTCCATTCTCTGCCTCTTCCCTCCCGCCCTTCCCCCGTGGACTGGGACACCTGGGCGGGACTCGACTTCGAGGGCACTCGCTCCACGTGGGCTACCTGGGCCTTAGCAAATCCCCTGGGACGTATTCTTGGGGGCGGGGTGGCGCACGCGCACGCTGCCTTCTCCCACGTGGCCTCACCCCTCCCACAGGGGAGCTTACTTGCTCAACCGCACTCTATGGGATCGGTGCGAGGCGCCCCCTCGCGTGGTCCCCTGGAATGTGACGCTCTTCTCGCTGCTGGTGGCCGCCTCCTGCCTGGAGATAGTACTGTGTGGGATCCAGCTGGTGAACGCGACCATTGGTGTCTTCTGCGGCGATTGCAGGAAAAAACAGGTGAAATTTCTTGCGGTGGAGTTGTAGAGGGAACCTGCCTGGTCCTGGCTGCGTTCTCACCTTCTCTTTTCCGCAGGACACACCTCACTGAGGCTCCACTGACCGCCGGGTTACACCTGCTCCTTCCTGGACGCTCACTCCCTTGCTCGCTAGAATAAACTGCTTTGCGCTCTCTTCTCTGTCTGAGATTGTGCCTTCTGTAAGGAGGAGTGTGCGAGAGGCTACGGATACACCTGGCCTTTGGGGCCCCTGCACCCCACTTGTACTTTCTTAACGAATAGATACTGAGCTATTTGGTTGCGCTGGAAATAAGGACGGTAAACAAGACAGACAAGTTTTATTCTCTCAAAGAACTTGGCATTCCAAGAGTGGAAGATAGGCAATTTTTAAAAGAAGCAAAAAATTATTTCAATAGGTAATAAGCACTTTTTTTTTTTTTTTTTGACAGGGTCTCGCTGTCACTCAGGCTGGAAGGCCGTGGTACGATCTCGGTTCACTGCATCCTCCACCTCCTGGGCTCAAGCAATCCTCCCGTCTCAGCCTCCCAAGTAGCTGGGACCATAGGCATATGCCACCATGCCTTGCTAACTTTTTTGTATTTTTTGTAGAGACGAGGTTGCCCAGGCTGGTCTCGAACTCCTGAGCAAAAGTAATCCTCCCACTTCAGGCTCCCAAAGTATTGGGATTACAGGCTTGAGCCACCGTGCGTGGCCGATAAGCACTTTTTAAAAGCATGTTGGTAATGGGATTGATATTGACTTATGGAGAGACTCTCTTTTATGACAGGGAAAATTTGAGAAAATGAAATTTGAGCTAAGATCAGGAAGGCTTGCTAACCATCTGGATATTTGGGGGATTATAGGCAGAGAGAACAGCAAGGACAAAGATCCTAAACAGGGATCAGTTCTGTAGGAGAAAATAATGAAAACTATGGAAAAGACACTGTAACCTCTTAAGCTCTAGAAAATGGAACTGTAAAGCCATTGTGGCCTTGTCACCTCCTAATTTGATAGAATTTTTTTTTTTTGCTTTTTTTGACAGGGTCTCACTTTGTCACTCAGGCTGGAGTGCAGTGGCACGATCTCGGCTCATTGCAGCCTCCACCTCCTGGGCTAAAGCAATCCTCCTGCCTCTGCCTCCTGAGTAGCTGGGACTACAGGCGCACACCACCATACCCCTGCTAATTTTTGTACTTTTTGTAGAGAGGGGATTTCACCATGTTGCCCAGGCTGGTCTCCAACTGCTGAGCTTAAACAATCCACCCACCTCAGCCTCCCAGAGTGCTGAGATTACAGCTGTGAGCCACCACATCTGGCCATAATTTGGTAGAATTTTCTTAATCTTAGGTCACTGGTTCAGAAAGGAGACAACCTAGGCACCTAATGGGGGCAGGGTGTCTGCAGACTCTCTCAGAAAGCCAGACTTCCTGGGCCCGCACGATGGTGCAAGCCGGTAATCCCAAAACTTTGGAAGGCTGAAGCCAGTGGATCACTTGAGGTCAGGAGTTTGAGACCAGCTTGGCCAACATGGGGAAACTCCATCTCTACTAAAAATACAAAAATTAGCTGGGCATGGTGGTGGGTACCAGTAGTCCCAACTACTCAGGAGGCTGAGGCAGAAGAATCGTTTGAACCCAGGAGGTGGAAGTTGCAGTGAGCCAAGATCATACCACTGCACTCCAGCCTGAGTGACAGAGTGAGACTCCAAAAAAAAAAAAAAAAAAAAAAGCCAGACTTCCATCACTTGTCTGAAAATTATCTGTTTAAGTGCGTTTTTCTCGAGTCCATAACTTTTCAGCAATCTACCATAGACCCCTGAGACCAAATCCAAATGTATGCCTCACCTAATGCTAAGTTAGGAGGGGAAAAGGAGACTCAGTTCCCCATCCCTTAAACAGGCGAGACCAGCCGGGCATGGTGTCTCACGCCTGTAATCCCAGCACTTTGGGAGGCCAAGGTGGGCGGATCATGAGGTCAGGAGATCGAGACCATCCTGGCTAACACGGTGAAACCCCGTCTCTACTAAAAATACAAAAAAAAAAAAAAAAAATTAGCCGGGCGTAGTGGCGGGCGCCTGTAGTCCCAGCTACTCGGGAGGCTGAGGCAGGAGAACGGCGTGAACCCGGGAGGCAGAGCTTGCAGTGAGCCGAGTGAGCCACTGCACTCCAGCCTGGGGGACAGAGCGATACTCCGTCTCAAATAAATAAATTAATAAATAAATAAATGAAATAAACAGGCGAGACCAAAGTCAACTCAGAGAAGCTTTAATAGCAAGAGGTGGGACTAGCCTCCTGGCCCGGGAGAGAGCGGCGGCGGCGGCGCCGTTCAACTGCGGCAGCAGAATAAGCGCGCGTCGTTCAGCGCAGTGTCATCGCCGAGGCCTCTAGGTCCCTGGATCTTGGTCTGCAGGCCGCACGCGCCCTTGGGGCAATGGTCACTCCAGTCTCCAAAGTCTCCCCAGCTCAGCCCAGGCCCCTGCAGTTCCTCGCCGTCTGAACAGCGGAAGCGCACGTTGTTCGCTGCTGTGTTGTCACCGAGGGTCGTGGGTGCCTCCACGCGAAGCGAGAAAGCCACTAGGTAGGCGCCGCCGCGACACCACAGCGGCTCACTCCATTCGCCCCAGCTGCAAGGCAAAGGGAGATGCGTTGCCTCTGCGGGCCCCCCATTCACCAAGCCCTTGAGACTTTCCAAGCCAAGTGCTGTGTATATGACCTGGTGGGCTGGGTGCTCCCCGACCTCCGCCGAGGAGCGGAGGAGGGGTCTTCCATCCACCCTTCGCCTCCCCGGTCTATACTGCCCCGTAGCTCTGGCGGAGCCAGCCTGCCTGTTGCGACGGAGTATGTAATAGAGGGTAAGGGACATACCATCACCCCAAGGGATCCTCGACCCCTGCGCCCCACCTTCCAGACTGGGACTCTACCACGTGCGTATTGCCTAGGACGTTCCCGCGCGCGCAGTGCAGCCTGATCCCATTCAGTGCAGTGTCGTCGCCAGGAATGCCTTGGGGAGGCTCCACCTGGGTATCGAGGAGAGGGGCAAGGGCGAGTCACGGAATTATCATCCTTGGCTCTATGGTCCCACGCATCTCCGCCCTCTCCAGGACCTACGCCTGAGCCCCAACCTTGAGCGAGAACCCGCTGGCGAAGAATCCATCGGGACACATCTCAGGCCAGGCCCAGTCGCCCCAGGGACCCCCGCTGGTCACTTCGATGACCGCCGTGTAGCCGTTCCGGCCATCTGTCTGTGCACATGTGAAACCAGTCGCCCGCAGAAGCAGCAGCAGCGGCAGCAGCTTGGCTCCTGCGCCCCGCTCCATCCTGTAGCGTCTGTGAATCAGGCCTCCTAAGCAGATTTATATCAGTTTGGCCTCTGTGAGGGCTCCGATTGCGGAAGGGCCTCCCAGATTAAGTGAAACCCAAAACTAATCCACTCCCGGAACCCTATTTCCTGCTCCCGGAGGCAGAGGCTCCCAGAGCTAGGGTAGGAGGGGCAGTGAGAGAGGGCGAATTAAAATAACCATCACCTACTGAATATTTACTATAGGCTACGAATTATGGTTAGCGCTTTGCAGTATTTTGTTTAACCCTCACAACAATTTTTGGGGGGTGAGAATTATCCTTCCTATTTTGTAGATGAGGGAACTGGCTCAAAAATGGCAAGCAACTTGCCTTAGGTTTACAGCCAAGCAAGCTGGGAAACATTCCAGCAGTGAGAGTGGAGACAGAGCAGAGACCAGGGCTAGGGATGGAAGTGACCTCCCGGGAGTCCCACCAGTGACGGGATGGGGCAAGAGCAACCCAGAGACCTCCAGGATGTGAGGGGACATCAGAGTGAGGATAGGACAAGAATCCTCGAACTGGAGAAGCTGAGAAAACTCCTGTCAGCTCAGAAGTCTCTTCCTCCTCTGAGAGGTCTTCTGAGAGCTCAGGGCCCTAACACCTTGAGAATCCGGGACACTCCTCCCTACCTTAGAAGAAGACATATACAAACAGAAATAATTCTTTTTTATTTTTATTTTTTGAGTCGAAGTCTCACTCTGTCGCCCAGTGGCGGCATCGCAGTGGCGCGATCTCGGCTCACTGCTACCTCCACCTCCTGGGTTCAAGCGATTCTCCTGCCTCAGCCTCCCGAGTAGCTGGGACTACAGGCGCGCGCCAAGACGCCGCCCCGCTAATTTTTGTATTTTTAGTAGAGACCGGGTTTCACCGTGTTGGCCAGGATGGTCTCTATCTCTTGACCTTGTGATCCGCCTGCCTCGGCCTCCCAAAGTGCTGGGATTACAGGCATGAGCCACCGCGCCCGGTCCAACAGGAATAACTCTAAGAAGTTTGGGGACAGGAGACTAAGAACCCCTAAGAAAAGATCATGCTGTTTCTTCCATTGCTTTCTGTATCCTTATATCCTTTCCTGGAATGCCTTTCCCCCTGTGACCACCAGATGGACTCCTAATTTGCAAAACAAAAAGCGAGAAAATCTGGCTAAGTATGTTTTTTGTTTGTTTGTTTGTTTGTTTGTTTTGAGACGAAGTCTCACTCTGTTGCCCAGGTTGGAGTGCAGTGACGCCATCTCGGCTCACTGCAACCTCTGCCTCCCGGGTTCAAGCGATTCTCTTCCCTTAACCTCCCGAGTAGCTGGGATTATAGGCGTTCGCCACCACGCCCGGCTAATTTGTATATTTTTAGTAGAGACGGGGTGTTGCCATGTTAGCCAGGCTGACCTCAGGTGATCCGCCCACCTCGGCCTCCCAAAGTGCTGGGATTACAGGCGTGAGCCACCGTGCCTGGCCTAAAAATGCCTGGCTAAATTTGTTAGGGGCCACAACCCCAGATTTACCTGCCCCTCATACACACTCCTTTGTTTATTCAATACCTATTTAGCAATAATATGTTTTGGCTTAAGCAATATTCCACTTGCTGTAAGCAAGAATAACAAGGCCCCTGTCATCAGAGGTCACATTCCAGTGGGGGAGACAGAGGATAAATTCTCCCCCAGTGGACCTTGAGCTCTGTGAAGGCACTTTTGTATTCTTGAAGCCTAGTACGTGCGGAAGTACTTAATAAAAGTTGGTGCAATGAATGATTGAAGAGCCAATCTGGAGTTTTGAAAATTAAACCACAAAAATGCAAAAGGATAAAGCCTGACGTACGTATATGATTGCAAGAGGTCATGTATCCAGGTCAAGACAAAGTCCCCTGGGAATAAGATAGAGAATTTAGAAGTGGGTGTTCCCGGCTGGGCGCGGTGGTTTACGCCTGTAATCCCAGCACTTTGGGAGGCCAAGTTGGGCGGATCACAAGGTCAGGAGTTCGAGACCAGCCTGTCCAGTATGGTGAAACCCTGTCTCTACTAAAAATGTAAAAATTAGCCGGCACTTTCCAGCCTGGGCGACAGAGCGAGACTTTGTCTCAAAAAACAAAAAAACAAAAAACAAACAAAAAAAAAAAGAGAGCGAGAGAGAAGTGGGTGTTCCCTGGATCCCAGAGCCGGACAATGCTTGAACTTAATAAGATTTATAGGGCAATTGTGGTCAGCTTTTCCATTTAGTGTTTTCACATACGTTATCATTTAATCCTCACATGAGGCTTGCAAAGTACCTATTATTATCCTCAATTTACAGTGGAGGGAACTCAAGCCCAGAGTGAATTTAGGGCCCACACCACTGCTCAGTAGGGGAGCTGTTCTGGGCCCTGCCTCTCTTCCCAATACTCAGAGTGCCTCTTGCTACAGCTGGCCCTACAGGGAAGGGAAATGCACTGATCTGTCACTGCTGTCGAATCCCCCAAATTCCCTTCACCCAGTTCCTCGCACCCAGGGTAGCTGCCCTTTGGGGCGAAGGGCACAGGGGAAGGGGCCTTAGTAGGTTAATTATTAATCCTTTGCGCCTCAGGGCACCACGGGCTTCTGTCCCCTCCTGGAGGCGGAGGGACACGGACTGGCTAGGCGCTGGTGAGGGGGCGGCGGTCCCAGCAGCAGGCATGGGAGTGGCGGCGCGGCCCCCAGCCCTGCGGCACTGGTTCAGCCACTCAATTCCTCTCGCTATCTTCGCGCTGCTGCTGCTTTATCTCAGTGTTCGGAGCCTAGGTGAGCTGCCCCTTCCCTCACTTGCTCCGGGAGGAAGCCCGGAATCCAGGCCCTCACGACTCAAGCCTCTTTCTCGAGCCCTCACCGCTCCGCTTCTCCTCTACCCAGGCGCCCGCTCGGGCTGCGGACCCAGGGCGCAGCCCTGCGTTCCAGGGGAAACGGCGCCCTTCCAGGTACGCTAGGCGCAGGATTGGGCGCGGGCGCTCCAGGAGGGACCAGAACAGGGGGACGTGGAGCCAGGCTGAGGGTCCGGCAAAGGGCGGGTCCTCCCCCGGTCTACCCTCTCCCGTCGGAAGCTGAGCGCACAGCAGAAGAGCCGCCAGCTAAACCTTCGGAACAATTTCTTCAGGGCAGAATCTGCTCCCACCTCTTCCCATCGTGTCTCCCCACCAGGTCCGGCAGGAGTCGGGAACCCTGGAGGCCCCGGAGAGGAAACAGCCTCCGTGTCTGGGCCCTCGGGGGATGCTGGGCCGCATGATGAGGCGGTTCCACGCCAGTCTGAAACCCGAAGGGGATGTGGGGCTGTCGCCGTACCTGGCGGGATGGAGGGCACTCGTCGAGTGAGTGGCCTCCCGCCCCCCAGCCGGTCCCCGCCTCCTTGGCGGCTCCATCTCCATTCTCTCAAATCGTCTCGCCCGCAGGTTCCTGACTCCCCTCGGCTCCGTCTTCGCCTTCGCCACTAGGGAGGCCTTCACCAAGGTGACAGACCTGGAGGCTCGGGTGCACGGCCCGGACGCGGAGCACTACTGGTCGCTGGTGGCCATGGCGGCGTGGGAGCGGAGGGCGGGACTGCTGGAGCAGCCGGGGGCGGCCCCCCGGGACCCGACCCGGAGCTCGGGCTCTCGCACGCTGCTCCTGCTGCACCGCGCGCTGCGCTGGTCCCAGCTCTGCCTCCACCGGGTGGCGACCGGCGCGCTGGGAGGCCCGGACGCGGGCGTGCAGTGCAGCGACGCCTACCGTGCGGCCCTGGGTCCGCATCACCCCTGGCTGGTCCGACAGACCGCCCGCCTCGCCTTCCTCGCCTTCCCGGGTCGCCGCCGCCTGCTGGAGCTGGCGTGTCCCGGAGCCACCGAGGCGGAGGCGCGGGCCGCGCTGGTCCGGGCCGCCGGCACCTTGGAGGATGTCTACAACCGCACCCAGAGCCTGCTGGCCGAGCGCGGCCTGCTCCAGCTGGCCTAAGACGGCGGCTGCGGGGACCGGCGGGAACGGAGCGGACCGCCCGGGGTGGGGCCGCGCAGCCCGGGGTCAGTCCTGCAGCCCGCGCCGCGGCCGCCTCCGTATCCCGCCTCTTCCGTGACGTCGCCGCGGCGAGGGCCGCCCCCGGCAGGGAATGGCGTTGAGCTCCCTCTGTCCGCAGTCTCGGAAAGACGGGAGGAGCTGTGAGGAATAAAAAAGCAATATTTGGCAGCGTCGACGTAGGGCGTTTTGTGTGATGACGACAGGCGCTTAAGGGAAATAAAAAACGAAGGTGAGAAGATGTGTCATCTCTGTTCTCGGCAGCCGAGAGACTCACGCTCCCCCGGCCTATCGTAGTCACTCCCGTGGCTTCGGTTGCCAAACACACGCTGAGTCTCCAGCCCAGACTTGTCCCTGAGCTTCACCCCTGTGCAGCCAAGTGACTCCACGGCCACTCCCACAATGAACATGAAAGATCTTGCCATTTCATACACTGATAACTTCCAAATCACAACTTCAATCCACTTTCTCCTGGACTCCAGAATCCTACATATACGATTGCCTATTCGGTATTTCCACTTGGATGTCACCTAGGCATAGCAAACCTACCATGTCCAACACTAAGCTCCAACACGCCCTCCCCACGAAAATTCTCCCTTCATAGTCTTTGCTGGCTCAAATGACACTTCATTCTTCCAGGTCCTCAGACCAAAAACCTCGTCATCCAGACCCTTCTGGGTTGTTTTTTCGTTTTGGTTTGGTTTTCTTTCTTTTTTTTTTTTTTTTTTCTGAGACAGAGTTTCTCTCTTGTTACCCAGGCTGGAGTGCAATGGCGCGATCTTGGCTCACCGCAACCTCCACCTCCCGGGTTCAAGCAATTCTCCTGCCTCAGCCTCCCAAGTAGCTGGGATTACAGGCATGCACCACCACACCAGGCTACTTTTTGTATTTTTAGTAGAGACAGGCTGTCTACGTGTTGGTCAGGCTGGTCTTGAATTCCCGACCTCAGGTTATCCGCCCGCCTCGGCCTCCCAAAGTGCAGGGATTACAGGTGTGAGGCACTGCGCCCAGCCCCAGCCCTTCTGTTTCTCTTTCATCATATCAGCATCCAATCTGTGAAAATCTGAGCAGTGCCCACTTTCTCCACTCCTAGTACCTTTGACTATGAAGGGAGACTATATCCTAGATTACTGCACTAGCCTCCTCATTGTTTCTCTGTCCATCCTTTCCCTCCCTATAATGTATTTTATTTTATTTTTGTGCCCCCTCTCCCACCCTCCTATAATGTATTTTATTTTTTTTATTTATTTACTTATTTTGAGACGGAGTTTCACTATTGTCACTGAGGCTGGAGTGCAGTGGCGCAATCTCGCCTCACTGCAACCTCCACCTCCCAGGTTCAAGTGATTCTTCTGCCTCAGCCTCCTGAGTAGCTGGGATTACAGGCGTAATCCCACCACCACTCCCAGCTAATTTTTGTATTTTTAGTAGAGACGGGGTTTTGCTACGTTGGCCAGGCTGGTCTTGAACTTCTGACCTCAGGTGATCCACCCACCTCCGCCTCCCAAAGTGCTGGGATTATAGGTGTGAGCCACCGCGCCTGGCCAACGATTGTTTTTTATTACGAGAGAATGTTGGATTTTTAAACTGCTTTTCTGAGTTTATTGAGATAATTTTCCATTTTTCCTTTATTAATATGGTATATTGCATTAATTTTCATATGTTGAACCAATGTTGTATTCCTTTTTTTTTTTTTTTTTGAGAACAACTCTTGCTCTGTTGCCCAGGCTGGAGTGCAGTGGCACGATCTAGGCTCACTGAAACTTCTGCCTCCCGAGTTCAAGTGATTCTCCTGCCTCAGCCTCCCGAGTAGCTGGGACTACAGGCACACCACCATGCCAGGCTAATTTTTGTATTTTTAGTAGAGACTGGCCAACATGGTGAAACCCCGTCTCTACTAAAAGTACAAAAATTAGCCAGGTACGGTGGCATGTGCCTGTAATCCCAACACTTTGGAAGGAGAATCACTGGAACCCGGGAGGCAGAGCCTGCAGTGAGCCGAAATTGTGCCACTGCACTCCAGCTTGGACAACAGCACAAGACTCTGTCTCAAAAAAACAAAAAACAAAAAAGAAAAAAACAACAAACAAAAAAAAAATCAACAAACTAGGAATAGAAGGGAACTTCCCCTGCCTAGGCATCTGTGAAAAACCCAGGGCTAACAGCACTCTCAATGATGAAAGACTTTTCCCTAAGCTTTCTCCTAAGCTTTTCCCCTAAAATGAGAAACAAGACAAAGATGTCTGCTTTTGCCAATCTATTCAACATTGTGCTGAAGTAACTAGCCAGAGCAACTGGGCAAGATAATGAAATAAAAAGCATCCAGATTGGAAAGGAAGAGATAAAATTATCTCTATTTGCAGATGATATGATGGTTTATATAGAAAAACCCTAAAGAATATAGACACAAACTTTTAGAACTAATAAATGGCCAGGCACGGTGGCTCACGCCTGTAATCCGAACACTGGGAGGCTGAGGCAGGCAGATCACGAGGTCAGGAGTTCAAGACCAGCCTGACCAACATGGTGAAACTCCATCTCTACTAAAAATACAAAAATTAGCTGGGCATGGTGGCACTCACAGGAGAACTGCTTGAGCCCGGGAGGTGGAGACTGCAGTGAGCCGAGATTGCGCCACTGTACTCCAGCCTGGGCAACAGAGTAAGACTGTCTCAAAAACAAAACAAACAAACAAACAAAAAGAACTAATAAATGGTTCAATGAAGTTGCAGAATACAAGATCAAAACCAAAATCAGTTGTATTTCTATGTACTAGCAATGAACAATCCAAAAATGAAATTAAGAAGACAATGTCACTTATAACAGCATCAAAAAGAATAAAATACTTGGGAACAAATTTAACCAAAGAAGTGCAAGACCTATATATTGAAAACTATTATAAACACTGTTAAAAGAAATTAAAGGGCCGGGCGCAGTGGCTCACGCCTGTAATCCCAGCACTTTGGGAGGCCGAGGCGGACAGATCACGAGGTCAGGAGTTTGAGACCAGCCTGGCCAATATGGTGAAACCCCGTCTCTACTAAAATTACAAAAATTAGCCTGGCGTGGTGGCAGGCGCCTGTAGTCGCAGCTACTTCAGAGGCTGAGGCAAAAGAACTGCTTGAACCTGGGAGGTGGAAGTTGCAGTGAGCCAAGATCACGCCACTGTTCTCCAGCCTGGGTGACAGAGCAAGATCTGTCAAGAAAGAAAAGAAAAGAAAGAACGAAGGAAGGAAGGAAGGAAAGAAAAGAAAAGGAGAAAAGAAAAGAAAAGAAAAGAAGTACTACAAAGCTACAGTAATAGAGACAATATGATACTGGCATAGGATAGACATATAGATCAATGAAACAAAACTGAGAATCCAGAAGTAAGTCCATACATGTATGGTCAATGATTTTTAACAAGGGTGCCAAGATCATTCAATGGGGAGACAGTCTTTTTTTTTTTTTTTTTTTTTTTGAGACGGAGTCTTGCTCTGTTGCCCAGGCTTGGGAGTGCAGCGGCCCGATCTCGGCTCACTGCAAGCTCCGCCTCCTGGTCTCAGACCATTCTCCTGCCTCAGCCTCCCGAGTAGCTGGGACTATAGGCGCCCACCACTACACCCGGCTAATTTTTTTTTTGTATTTTTAGTAGAGGGGTTTCACCGTGTTAGCCAGGATGGTCTCAGTCTCCTGACCTCGTGATCCGCCTGCCTCAGCCTCCCAAAGTGCTGGGATTACAGGCGTGAGCCACTGCACCCGGCAGGTCTTTTCAACAAATGGTGCTGGAACAACTAACTGACTATCCATATGCAAAAGCATGGATTTGGACTTCTACTTCACATCACATACAAAAATTAACTCAAAATGGACCACAGACCTAAAAATGTAAGAGCTGGCACTATAAACTTTCATGCTTCAAAGAACACCAATGAAGGACATGAAAAGACAATCCAATGGGAGAAAATATTTTCAAATCATGTATCTGATGTTTCTAGTACCTAGAATATTAAAAAGGACCCTTACAACTCAACAATAAAAAGACAAATAGAGCCAGGCACAGTGGCTCATGCCTGTAATCCTAGCACTTTCGGAGGCCGAGGCGGGAGGATCACCTGAGGTTAGGAGTTCGAGACCGGCCTGGCCAACATGGCGAAACCCCATCTCTTTAATAAAAATACAAAAATTAGCCGGGCATGGTGGCGCATGCCTGTAATCCCAGCTACTTGGGAGGCTGGGGCAAGAGAATTGCTGGAACCCGGGAGGCGGAAGCTGCAGTGAGCCGAGATCACACCAGTATAAAAAGACAAATAGAGGCCGGGCGCGGTGGCTCACGCCTGTAATCCCAGCACTTTGGGAGGCCGAGGCGGGTGGATCATGAGGTCAGGAGATCGAGACCATCCTGGCTAACAAGGTGAAACCCCGTCTCTACTAAAAATACAAAAAAAATTAGCCGGGCGCGGTGGCGGGCGCCTGTAGTCCCAGCTACTCGGGAGGCTGAGGCAGGAGAATGGCGTGAACCCGGGAAGCGGAGCTTGCAGTGAGCCGAGATTGCGCCACTGCAGTCCGCAGTCCCGCCTGGGCGACAGAGCGAGACTCCGTCTCAAAAAAAAAAAAAAAAAAAAAAAAAGACAAATAGAGCTGGGTTCAGTGGCACACACCTGTAGTCCCAGCTACTTGAGAAGCTGAGGCGGGAGGATCACTGGAGCCCAGGAGTTCGAGGCTGATATAGTGCACCATGATCCCATCTGCACTCCAGCCTGGGAAACACCGCAAGACAAACCCACCCCACACACACACCCCACCCTCGTCTCAAAAAAAAAAAATTAAACCCCAAAAATATATTAAACAAAAGACATATCCCAATTTTAGAATGTGCAAAGAACTTGAAAAAACATTGCATCAAAAAAGACATACAAATGGCCAATTATCTCATGGAAATATGCTCAGCATCACTAATCATTAGAAAAATACCAATGAAAACCACAGGGTACCACTTCACACCCACTGGAATGGCTATAACTAAAAAAATGCACAATAACAAGTGTTGGTGAGGATGTGGAGAAATTGGAACCCTCACACATGGCTTGTAGGGATGTAAAATGGTGCAGTTTCTGTGGAAAACAGTTTGTCGGTTGCTCAAAATGTTAAACATACAGTTATCATAGAACCCATAAATTCCTCTGCCAGCATATACTCCTAAGTATATAACTAAAAGAAATGAAAACATGGTGTGGTCACTTTAGCCCAAAGACTCTCAGGTTTATTTTGTGGGCCCTTTGGACTGTAACTCCATAAGATCGGTACGGCGCAAGCCACTAGGACTGTTTTTTGTTTTGTTTTGTTTTTGCTTTTGTTTTGAGACAGTCTTGCTCTGTCGCTCAGGCTGGAGTGCAGTGGCGTGATCTCGGCTCACTGTAACCTCCGCCTCCCAGGCTCAAGCGATTCTCCTGCCTCAGCCTCCCCAGTAGCCGGGATTACAGGCGCGCCCCACCACGCCCGGCTAATTTTTGTATTTTTTAGTAGAGAAGGAGTTTCACCATGTTGGCCAGGCTGGTCTTGAACTCCTAACCTCATGATCCGCCCGCCTCAGCCTCCCAAAGTGCCGAACGGTTTTTGGGTTTTTTTTGGTTTTTTGGGGGGGGGGTTTTGCTGACTTTCTTGTTTTGTTTGTTGCTTGCCACGCTGCCATCAAGTGCTCACTGTCGCAAAAGAACCGTCCCCATGCAGTACTGTACTTTTCTTTTCCCTTCTGCCGTCAACCTCGGAGTAGCTTCGCTCCCAGAAGGCCTCAAAGCGCGACCAAAGAGCGTGACAGAGCGCTTTACGACAGTTGCTTTGAGGCAGTACCGGAGGAGAAAGATGGCGGCTACCTTACTAGCTGCTCGGGGAGCCGGGCCAGCACCGGCTTGGGGGCCGGAGGCGTTCACTCCAGACTGGGAAAGCCGAGAAGTTTCCACTGGGGTGAGGAAGGAATCGGGGTTCATAGGACGTGCACAAGGCCTGACGCGATGGGAAGATAAAGCCTGAGTGGGGTTGAGAGATCTGGCAGGGGTGGAGAGGAGGTGGAATGTGTTGTGCTCCAGGAATGGGGAGAGGTACCCCGAAGATGGTGGAGTGGTGCGGTAGCTTCGTAGTGGGAGGTGGAGGGTGGGCTGAAGTTTGAAATTCTGAAATCCTGCGAGGCTAGTGAGGATCTTGGGCTTAAGTACGGGATGAGTCTTTTGAGATTTGAGGGTTGGCATTCTGGTATTCTGCGGGGTGCTGAGGCCCCTATAAGATTTGAAAATGGTTCAGCGACGGACAGATTTTGTATTTTTGGAACTAGGTAGAGAGATCATTGAGGTTTGTGTCTGCTGGAGAATGTAGACTTACTCCTTTTTCCCTTTTCCCAGACCACTATCATGGCCGTGCAGTTTGACGGGGGCGTGGTTCTGGGGGCGGACTCCAGAACAACCACTGGGTGAGCTCAGGACAGATTTGTGAAAGGTCTTCCCATCTTCCTTTTCCTTTCCTGCCTGCCAGCCCACCCTGCCTGCCTCCACAGACCACTGTGGGAAGAGAGGTTTCTTCTCTCTCTGGAGATAAAGATTTGTCCCAACTTTTGTTACTTTCAGTTCCCCTCACTCGTTAGTGGAATCCTTACAAAAGTCTGTTCTCCAGCCCGCTTCAGTTTGGATGAGAATAAGCAATACTGGAGGCCAGGCACGGTGGCTCACGCCTGTAATCCCAGTACTTTGGGAGGCCGAGGCGGGTGGATCACCTGAGGTCAGGAGTTCGAGACCAGCCTGGCCAACATGGCGAAACCCCGTCTCTACTAAAAAATACAAAAATTAGCCGTGCGTGGCGGTGCGTGCCTGCAGTCCCAGCTACTTGGGAGGCTAGGGCTAGAGAATCGCTTGGACCCAGGAGGTGGATGTTGCAGTGAGCAGAGATCGCGTCACTGTACTCCAGCCTGGGCAACAGAGCGAGACTCCATCTCAAAGAAAAAGGAAAAAAAGGCAATACTGGACATCCTATCCCTGAGCCCTAAGAGAGTGGGTAGTGATGGGATGGAGGTGGAAGACAGGTGGGCTCCTTTCCTCACTATTCTGCCATCCTGCAGGTCCTACATCGCCAATCGAGTGACTGACAAGCTGACACCTATTCACGACCGCATTTTCTGCTGTCGCTCAGGCTCAGCTGCTGATACCCAGGCAGTAGCTGATGCTGTCACCTACCAGCTCGGTTTCCACAGGTGCTTGTGGGCAGGGGAGGGGCAAGTATCTGAAGGGAGTTGGAAGCTGAGGAGCTAAATAGCCTGACTTCTAGGTCTTGAAACTTTCTCTGTGACTTCCCTGACCCTCTAGCATTGAACTGAATGAGCCTCCACTGGTCCACACAGCAGCCAGCCTCTTTAAGGAGATGTGTTACCGATACCGGGAAGACCTGATGGCGGGAATCATCATCGCAGGCTGGGACCCTCAAGAAGGAGGGCAGGTCAGATCCCCACCCGACCAGAGCACACTTGAGCCAGGACTTTTATCCTCTCCCCAGCCATTTTCTTTTTCTTTCCAGTCTCTACCTCACTTATTCTTACTATTAACGTGCCTCAGACCAATAGCAGAATGGACAGGTGAATGTACGTGTGTTGGAGGGAGGATACGACTGGTGACTCCTCTCCTTCTATCTGGCAGGTGTACTCAGTGCCTATGGGGGGTATGATGGTAAGGCAGTCCTTTGCCATTGGAGGCTCCGGGAGCTCCTACATCTATGGCTATGTTGATGCTACCTACCGGGAAGGCATGACCAAGGAAGAGTGTCTGCAATTCACTGCCAATGGTGAGAGCTTAGGCTTCTGGGCCTATGAGCTTCAACCCCAACTACCCAAGCCAGGCCAGCATTCCTCATTCCTTGCAGTGATCCCGGCATCTGAATCTGAACCCAGCTTTCTTCTTTTATCCACAGCTCTCGCTTTGGCCATGGAGCGGGATGGCTCCAGTGGAGGAGTGATCCGCCTGGCAGCCATTGCAGAGTCAGGGGTAGAGCGGCAAGTACTTTTGGGAGACCAGATACCCAAATTCGCCGTTGCCACTTTACCACCCGCCTGAATCCTGGGATTCTAGTATGCAATAAGAGATGCCCTGTACTGATGCAAAATTTAATAAAGTTTGTCACAGAGAATCTTTGTACTTTGGGGTTCTTTTTTTTTTGACTTCAAGTCCGAATTTGTCTGGCCCATTCCTATTTGTAAAAACCATTGCACTGAACTCAGAGCAAGTTGGAGAGGAGATGAAAGGAGTTTATGAATGCTTTATTCCCCAGTAAACTTTTACATGGGTGGTTTTCAAACCTCTTCTCCAAATTGCCTTCCCCCAAACTTCCTTTCCCCCACCATATCCAGGTCCTTGAACCACTGGATTGTGGTTGGTGTTGGGGGTACCAGCAACACCCACTCCCTGTTCAAGCCCAAGGTGGAACTCGGAATTCTGACTAAAACTGGAGTCACCTTCCTTCAGCCTGCTTCCTGCCAGTCATCCTGGGTGACTACTGTCCCTAAGGCCACAAAGACCAGCCTCCTCCAGCCCAGCCTCATGGTCCCCTCTCTCCACACTTAACCTCTGTTACCTCACCTTGTGGTCAGCAGTAGCACTGTGACTTCCTTGGCTTTTGGGAGAAAGGTGGGCCTTGTCTGCAAATGGAATTTAAGATGAATGATGAGTGGGAGAACAAAACCACTGGGAGTGGTTTGGCCAGCTCTGGAAGCCACCATTCCCATGGTAGGGGGTGTGATCAACCTCTTGGATGAGAGGCTGAAAATAGACTCTGGCCCTTCCGAAGCTGTCCCCACTCAAGCCAGGGACATAAAGGAGCTCGATAGCTGGGACTACAGGTGTGTGTCACCTCACCTCAGGCTAATTTTATTATTATGTATTTTTTAGAGACAGAGTCTCGCTCTGTCATCCAGGCAGCAGTGTCACTGTCATAGCTCACTGTAACCTCAAACTCCTGGGCTTAAGTGATTCTCCTGCCTCAGCCTACCAGTGTGCTGGGATTACAGGCATGAGCCACTGTGCCCATCCTTTTTTTATTTTATTTAGTTATTTATTTTATTTTTTTTGAGATGGAGTCTCACTCTGTTGCCCGGGCTGGAGTGCAGTAGCCTGGTCTTGGCTCACTGCAACCTCCGCCTCCCGGGTTCTGGCGATTCTCTTGTCTCAGCCTCCCAAGTAGGTGGGATTATAGGCGGGCACCACTGTGCCTGGCTAGTTTTTGTATTTTTAGTAGAGATGGGGTTTTGCCAAGTTGACCAGGCTGGTCTTGAACTCCTGACCTCAGGTGATCCACCCACCTCAGCCTCCAAAAGTTCTGGGATTACAGGCATGAGCCACCACACCCGGCCTTAAATATTTTTTAGAGACAAGGTCTCCCTATGTTGCCCAAGCTGGTCTTGAAGTGGCCTCAAGAGATCCTCTTGCCTCAGCCTCTTGAGTAGCTGGGATTATAGGCGTGAGCCACTGCACCCAGCTCTTTTTAAATAAATTTTTTTTTTTTTTTTTTGAGACAGTGTTTCACTCTTATTGCCCAGGCTGGAATGCAATGGCGTGATCTTGGCTCACTGCAACCTGCACATCCCGGATTCAAGCAATTCTCCTGTCTCAGCCTCCCGAGTAGCTGGGATTACAGGCATGCGCCACCACATTCAGCTAATTTTGTATTTTTAGTAGAGACGGAGTTTCTCCACTTTGGTCAGGCTGGTCTCAAACTCCCGACCTCAGGTGATCCACCTGCCTTGGCCTCCCAAATTTTTTTTTTCTTTTAAGACAGAGTCTGGCTCTGTCCCCCAGGCTGGAGTGCAGTGGTGTGATCTCGGCTCACTGCAACCTCCACCTCCTGGGTTCAAGTGATTCTCCTGCCTCAGCCTCCTGAGTAGCTGGGATTATAGGCGTCCACCACCACGTCTGGCTAATTTTTTTGTATTTTTAGTAGAGACAGGGTTCCACCAAGTCGGCCAGGCTGGTCTCGAACTCCTGACCTCAGGTGATCCACCTGCCCGGGCCTCCCAAAGTGCTGGGATTACAGGCGTGAGCCACTGCACCCAGCCTAAAATTCATTTTTTAGATCAGTTTTAGGTTCACAGCAAAATTGAGTCGAAAATACAGATATTTCCCATGTGCTCCTCTCCCCACGTGGGCAACCTCCCCCACTGTCAACATTCTGCACCAGAGATGGCCATTTGTTGGAACTAGTAAACCTGCACTGACACATCACTCCCAGATTTCCACATGGCTGCTCATCATTCAGCTCTCAGCTCAAATGTCACCTCATCAGAAAGGCCTTTCCCAACCACCTGAAACTGAAGAATCACCACCCCCTAATCCCACTCTCACATGACCCTGTTTCATTTTCTTCAAAGCAGCACACATCACCATCTTGGGTTCTGCTTAGCTGTTACCTGTGTATGATTGTCTCCCTCCCTCTACTAGCAAGTCAGTTCAGTGAGAAGAGAGAATTGTTCCTTCCTGGTTCATTGATACATCCTCCACGCCTGGCAGGGGTGGACACTCGGCATTTACTGAATGAATATGCTTTCTCATCCCATCTGCTATCCTGCCCTGCCCCCAGCCACCCCAGCCTGCCTTCACCACACTCAACCCCGAAGCTTGACGTCAGCCAATTCTTACTTTCCCGCTTGTCACACCTGGGCTCTGCGTTAGGTCAGCTGCCTCATATTCATCATTCGTGTGTCTCACTCCCACCGTAGACAACACTTCCCATCTCAGCCCCATAACCCAGCCCTGCAGCCTTGGCCCCATCTACACCCCCAGCACACACACACACAGCACTTAGCAACTATGAACACATTTGATGAGAAGGTTAGAAAGGACTTGGGGAGGTGGACATTAGGATCGCTGAGAAATCTGGGGAAGGAAGCTTGCTAAGCCTTCCTGGAGGTTCACCTCCTCGTCGTCCCCTTCAAATGGTGGAGTCATTGGCCGATGCTATGTCATGCAGCTGGTGGCGGAAGGAGAGTCGGGCTTTCCTGCTGAAGTAGGCACCAGGCCCTGGCGAGGGTACCCCTCCCTCAGCCATGGTGGGGGCTATAGCTGGACTGGGATCTGGAGGGGCAGCAGGACTCAGGCCTAAAAGATTGGAGGAAGAAGGAAGTTGTAGGTCAGGGTTCACCTCCTCCCTCACCCCCAACCCAGGGTTGAGGAGGGAAGAAGCAAGGGAAGACACCTGGGGCCTGGGGGCTGGTGAGGAGTGTTGGTGGCAGCAGCAGGGGGAGGGAGAGGGGCTGTTGCAGAGCAAGCAGGACTGGCTCGCACACATGTGACCTGTGCAGTTGCATAGGATCCTCCGACTCAGAAGGGCCACCATGCTTGGCATAGGTCTCTGCTGTCACCATCTTGAAATTCTTAATTTTTTTTTTTTTTTGAGACAGTCTCACTCTGTTGCCCAGGCTGGAGTACAATGGCACTATTTCGGCTCACTGCAACCTCCGCCTCCCGGGTTCAAGTGATTCTCCTGCCTCAGCCTCCCGAGTAGCTGGGACTACAGGCGCCCGCCACCACACCCGGCTAATTTTTTGTATTTTTAGTAGAGGTGGGTTTCACCGTGTTAGCCAGGATGGTCTCCATCCCCTGACCTCGTGATCTACCCACCTTGGCCTCCCAAAGTGCTAGGATTACAGGCATGAGCCACCGTACCCGGCCGAAATTCTTAAATTGTTAACAAGGGGCCCCACTTGGTCATTTCGAACTGGGCCCTACAAAGTATTTAGCCTGTCCTGTGAGGACTTCGGTGATCCATCTCCCACCCAGGGAGACAGATGATCCTTTTCCCTTTGCTGGTTTGAGCATTTCTCTCCCTGCCATGCAGTTGTCTCTCTGTCTGCCTGACAGCCCCGCTTTACCCTCAGTCTACTCCATACCTGCTCCTCTTTCAGTCCCCCGCTGCCTCCGGCACCCGCACCATGGGAAACACCATGCCCCCTTCAGACCCATCTCAACAGTGGAGGCGATCAGAGCTGGGAATGGCCAGGAGGGCCCCCGGGAGAGGGGTGTGGTTTCCAAGCCCCCCCACCATGGGCAAAACTACCACTTAGCCTCAGACCGCCTGGTGATTACAGGCGCCAGGGATGGAAAGGGGAGAGGAGGGAGGAAGAAAGGGGTGGGGGTACACTCCCATTCAGACACCTATTTTTATGCCCCATTAATTTGGGGGTCCTTTCTGATCCCCATGGAGAAGCAGGAGGTGGTTGGGAGAGGTGGCACGGCAGGGACAGACGCAGAGGTGCTGTGACAGACAGATGCAGTCACATTTCACTATGGCAATGCCCGACAACTTGGCGCCAGGCTGGACACCGCTGGGGATTCCTTTGTATTTTAGAATGAGAATTGAAGTGCCCAAGATGTAAACTTTCAAAGAATACTCTATTTTTTTAGAATAAGAAACTTTATTATTCAGGGAAATGTTAGATTCTCATTAAATGGTCTGATAGTTCCTGTCCCCTGTTATGAAGATGATTGTAATTGATTAATTATGCTGTGTCAGGTAAATGCTAGAGACTTTTACATGTTGTCTCATTTCACTTAATCACGTCAAAGATCTTTTTTTTGGGGGACAGAGTCTCACTCTCTCGCCCAGGGTGGAGTGCAGTGGCGCAATCTCGGCTCACTGCAACTCTGCCTCCTGGGTTGAAGTGATTTTCCTGCCTCAGCCTCCCAAGTAGCTGGGACTACAGGCGTACACCACCATGCCCAGCTAATTTTTTTGTATTTTTAGTAGAGACGGGGTTTCACCATGTTAGCCAGGCTAGTCTCGAACTCCTGACCTCAGGCAATCCACCCGCCTTGTCCTCCCAAAGTGCTGGGATTACAGGTGTGAGCCACCGCACCCGGCCTCAAAGATCTTTTGAGGTAAGTCCCTCACTGGTTAGGTGAGTCTATCCTGGTTTTACAGATGTGAAAAAGCAGGCACTGAGAGGTAAGGTAATTTGCCCAAGGTCACGCAGGCAGTTATTAGCCGAGTAGGAACCATGCCCAGCTCACAACCCTCACCTTGAGTCAGTCTGACCCCAAAAATCTATTGTTTTTTTTAATTTTTTTTTTTTTTTTTTTTTTTTTTGAGACAGAGTCTCGCTCTGTCACTCAGGCTGGAATGCAGTGGCGCGGTCTTGGCTCACTGCAAACTCTGCCTCCCGGGTTCACGCCATTCTCCTGCCTCAGCCTCCTGAGTAGCTGGGACTATAGGCGCCCACCACCACACCCGGCTAATTTTTTTTGTATTTTTAGTAGAGATGGGGTTTCACCGTGTTAGCCAGGATGGTCTCGATCTCCTGAGCTCGTGATCCGGCCACCTCGGCCTCCCAAAGTGCTGGGATTACAGGCATGAGACACAGCACCCGGCCTTTTTTTAATTTTTGAGATGGAGTCTTGCTCTGTTGTCCAGGCTGGATTACAGTGGTGCAATCTCGTCTCACTGCAACCTCCGTCTCCAGGGCTCAAGCGAGTCTCCTGTCCCAGCCTCCCAAGTAGCTGGGATTACAGGCACCCGCCACCATCCCCAGCCACATTTTGTATTTTTAGTAGAGATGGGCTTTCACCACGTTGGCCAGGCTGTTCTCCAACTCCTGACCTCAAGTGATCTGCCTGCCTCAGCCTCCCAAAGTGCTGGGATTACAGGCATCAGCCACCACACCCAGCCCAGAATCTACTCTTTTGACCAGTACACTGAGCTTCTGAAGCATGTCCCCAAGCAAGCATCGATGCCCTCAGACAGTTTGGGGTGGCCAGAGCCAAGGCTGGGAGCATCTAGTCAAGAGCATCCTAGCCAAGGACTCTAAGTGCTCTTAAGTAAAGCTGTGGAAGTGCTGTGTTTTTTTTCTTTTTTCTTTTTTTTTTTTTTGAGATGGAGTCTCGCTCTGTTGCCCAGGCTGGAGTGCAGTGGCACGATCTCAGCTCACTGCAACCTCCGCCTCCCGGGTTCACGCCATTCTCCTGCCTCAGCCTCCCAAGTAGCTGGGACTACAGGTGCCCGCCACCACGCCTGGCTAATTTTTTGTATTTTTAATAGAGACAGGGTTTCCCTGTGTTAGCCAGGATGGTCTCGATATCGTGACCTCGTGATCTGCCCTCCTCAGCCTCGCAAAGTGCTGGGATTCCAAGCGTGAGCCACTGCGCCCAGCCACAAGTGCTGTTTCATCATTCCCTGAGGGTGCCACAACGTGGGGAGTGTTAGGTTGCTGATTACAGGGTACTGCCTGAGTTACACAGAAATGTTTCTTTCTTTTTTTTTTTTTTTTGAGACAGTCTCACTCTGTCACCAGGCCGGAGTGTAGTGGCACTGTCCCGGCTCACTGCAATTTCTGACTCCCTGGTTCAAATGATTCTCCTGCCTCAGCCTCCCGAGTAGTACGCATCACCACACTCAGCTAATTTTTTGTATTTTTAGTAGAGACGGGGTTCACCATGTTAGCCAAGATGGTCTCGATCTCCTGACCTCGTGATCTGCCCGCCTCGGCCTCCCAAAGTGCTGGGATTACAGGTGTGAGCCACCGCGCCCCGCCTTCTTTTTCTTTCAATGAACTTTATTGAAGCAAAAATGCACATACAATGTAATGCACACATCTTAACGTACAGTTCCATGAGTATTACCAAGTGTATGCTCCTATGCAATCACCACTCCTATCAAAATACAGGGCATTCTTATCATCCTGGAATGTTCCCTCACGTGTCCCTTTACAGGCAATCTTTTCCCTACACCCTGCCACAAGCAACTACTGATCTGATTTCCATCACTATAGGTTGTTTTTGCCTGTTTTATAAGTTTAAGACCGGGTGCGGTGGCTCACGCCTGTAATCCCAGCACTTTAGGCCAAGGAGGGCGGATCATTTGAGGTCAGGAGTTCGACGCCAGCCTGACCAACATGGAGGAACCCCGTCTCTACTAAAAATACAAAAAATTAGCTAGGCGTGGTGGCAGGTGCCTGTAATCCCAGCTACTCAGGAGGCTGAGGCAGGAGAGAACCCGGGAGGCGGAGGTTGCAGTGAGCCGAGATCGCGCCATTGCACTCCAGCCTGGGCAATAACAGCGAAACTCTGTCTCAAAAAAAAAAATTAGCAAAAGGCCGGGAACGGTGGCTCACGCCTGTAATCCCAGCACTTTGGGAGGCTGAGGAGGGCGGATCACTTGAGGTCTGGAGTTTGAGACCAGCCCGGCCAACATGGTGAAACCCCGTCTCTACTAAAAATACAAAAATTAGCCGGAAATCCCTTGAACCTGGAAGGGGGAGGTTGCAGTGAGCCGAGATCACGCCACTGCAGTCCAGCATGGGCAACAAGAGCGAGACTCTGGCCGGGCGCGGTGGCTCACGCCTGTAATCCCAGTACTTTGGAAGGCCGAGGAGGGCGGATCACAAGGTCAAGAGATCGAGACCATCCTGGATAACACGGTGAGACCCCGTTTCTACTAAAAATACAAAAAAAATTAGCTGGGCGTGGTGGCGGACGCCTGTAGTCCCAGCTACTCAGGAGGCTGAGGCAGGAGAATGGCGTGAACCTGGGAGGCGGAGCTTGCAGTGAGCCGAGATCGCGCCACTGCACTCCAGCCTGGGCAACACAGCAAGACTCCATCTCAAAAAAAGAAAAAAAAAGAGCGAGACTCCGTCTCATAAAAATAAAAATAAAAATAAATAAAAAATAGCAAAAGACTGAATAGGCACTTTATAAAAGAAGACATACAAATGGCCAATCAGCACATGAAACATGGTCAATATCATTGATCTCCAGACAAATGCAAATCAAATTGCAATGATGTGCCCACAACACCCATTAAATGGCCAACGCTAAAGACTGACAATATCCAACGTTGGCCATGCCATGGAATAACTGGAACCACCATACACTGATTTTGGAAATCTAGAATGGAAAAACCATTTAGAAAAAAATCGTTTGGCAGTTTCTTATAAGTTAAACACACACTGATATGATCGAACAACTCCACTCCCTAGTTACCCAAGATAAAGGAAAACTATCCACGCAAACTTACAGGAATGTTTACAGGAGCTAAAACAATGGGCAAAACTAGAAACCCACATGTATATCAAAAGAGAAAAATAAATCTGCTTTTTAAAAAAGATTGAAATATCTTGTATTTTAATACCCGAAAAAATTTTATTTCCCCCTAGACTGCCAATTCCAGCTGAGCAGGCTCTCTAACCATCTTATTTACTACCATACTCTCAATTTCTGGCACGGAGTAAGCGCGCAATAAATGTTTGGTGAATGAATGAAAGAATGCCCGCTTTCATACACTAATGGGTTTGTAGCCACCACCCCTCAGGCCTTTTACGCCCTCATTCCTTCCAGGTACAAACGCTATCTGGGCTAGGCCAAATGTGGCTCGCAGCGGGTCCGGGAGCGGGGCACCTACCGGCAGCTCCCGCAGCGGAGGCGCGTCCCCCGGGCGCCGAGGCAGCGCCCGCGGCTGGAGGGGCCCGGGGCGGGCGCCGAGCCCGAGGGATGCGCGCAGCGCGGGGTGCCCCGGGAGGCAGCGGCCGGGCACGCTGGGACCGACGGCGCGGGACGCCCCGACGCCGGGCAGCACTTACCCGCCGCACCGAGAGAGCTACGCGGCCCCGCGGCCCTGCAGGGCACAGGGCGGCCCCCTGCCCGGGGCTCTCGGTGGCGCACTGGGCGGCGGGGCGGGCCGAGGGCAGCGGGGGCGGGACAGGACAGACGAGAATCCCGCGGAGGTGAGGCCGGGGGCCGCCCCGCCCCCGAGGGCAGGCCCTGAGCCCCGGCCCCGCCTCGGCCGGCCCCGCCTCGGCCGGGGCGTGGGCTCCGGCTGCAGCTCCGGTCTGCTCTCTTGGCTCCGGAACCCCCGCGGGCGCTGGCTCCGTCTGCCAGGGTGAGGGGGCCGGGAAGGGGCGCGCGGGGGTCCCGGGTCTCGGAAATCGGGCGGGGACGGAACGGGCTCGGGCTGCGGGGCCTCCAGACTCAGTCGCACGCTCAGATTTCGGGATTTCTACCCCCGGCTGGGATCGCGTAACTTCCTCATTCCCGCCTGGACCCCTGCCCCCGGCCCGCCTGGCCTGGCGTGAGCCCCGTAGCCGCGCGCTCTCCGGACCACCCAGGGCCGCTTCCCCGCGCAGCTGCTGCGCCGCCCCAGGTCGGAGCCTTCCGGGCCTGGCTGGGTGTTCCCCGGGGCTCTGGTTACGGGACGGGGCGGGGGGCGGGGGGCGGGACTGGGATTGTGGATGAAGGACTAAGGTAGGGGATGGGGGCTCGAAGGGGTCGGTGGGGCGTTGCAAACTGGTCAGGCGTCATCCGCGGGCGGTCAGGAGGCCGTGGGGGAAGAGGAGGATCTGGAAGAGATGGAGGACCTGCGGGAGTTAGGATGGGGGGCGGGTTCTGCAGGACAGCTCGCCTCCCTGAGGCTTCCCAATGTTCCTAGGATGACGGCGACCCCTGAGAGCCTCTTCCCCACTGGGGACGAACTGGACTCCAGCCAGCTCCAGATGGAGTCCGATGAGGTGGACACCCTGAAGGAGGGAGAGGACCCAGGTACACAGGGAAGATGGATGGCCCTCAGGGAGGAGAGGCGTTCGGGAGCCAGGGGGCTGGGGCCTGTTGTGGTCTACACTCCTCGACTTTCTTTCCTCCCAGCCGACCGGATGCACCCGTTTCTGGCCATCTATGAGCTTCAGTCTCTGAAAGTGCACCCCTTGGTGTTCGCACCTGGGGTCCCTGTCACAGCCCAGGTGGTGGGCACCGAAAGATATACCAGCGGATCCAAGGTGGCCAGACTGGCCCCAGGGAGGGGGAAAGGGAGGGCGGCCCGGAATGGATCCAAGGTGGCTGGGCTGGCCCCAGGGAAGGGGCAAAAGGAGGGCTGGCCAGAGTGGGGAGGCGGGGACCCACGCAGGGGACATCCATTCAGTTCCTCATACCCCTAGGTGGGAACCTGCACTCTGTATTCTGTCCGCTTGACTCACGGCGACTTTTCCTGGACAACCAAGAAGAAATACCGTCATTTTCAGGAGCTGCATCGGGACCTCCTGAGACACAAAGTCTTGATGAGTCTGCTCCCTCTGGCTCGGTGAGGGCGACCGGACTGCTTCCTGTAGAGGGCAGGTGCTCCCCACCCTCCTTTCTGTCTGTCTCACCCCGGGGCCACAACCTTTCCTCCCTGCAACTCTGGCCACTGTGCTGCCTCCCCTGACCCCAGTTACCAGGAAACTTTCCCTGCTCAGCTTTCCCTGTCCATGGTTCTGTGCCAGCATCTCAGCTGGGCGGGATGCCCAAAATGCTCTTGGCAGCCTCACCCTTTTCTAGTCTCCATTCCCAGGGTAGGGGGCCTCCGTTTTGCCAGCCTCTAGGCCTTTTGTTTGTTTTTTGTTTTTGTTTTGTACAAGGTCTCCCTCTGTCACCCAGGCTAGAGTGCAGTGGTATGATCTTGGCTCATGGCAACCTCCTGGGCTCAAGCAGTCCTCCCGTCTCAGCCTCCAGAGTAGCTAGGACCACAGCCACCACACCCAACTAATTTTTGTATATTTTGTAGAGATGGGGTGCTGCTGTGTTGCCCAGGCTGGTCTTAAATTCCTGAGCTCAAGTGATCCACCTGCTGCGGCCTCCCCAAGTGCTGGGATTCCAGGCGTGAGCCACCACGCCTGGCCACCTCCAGGCCTCTTCTTTTCCTCCGAGCCCCATCTCCAGTGTTTTCAGGAACCAGAGCACCCAGCCTCCCAGCTCTTACCTGACCTTCATCCATCCTTTCCACAGATTTGCCGTTGCCTATTCTCCAGCCCGAGATGCAGGCAACAGAGAGATGCCCTCTCTACCCCGGGCAGGTCCTGAGGGCTCCACCAGACATGCAGCCAGCAAACAGGTGGGACCAGATGCCAGGTCCTCCGGGAAGGCATTGGAGGTGCAAATGGCTCGGTCCCATCTGTCTCTCTCTCTCTCTCATCTCCACTTCAGAAATACCTGGAGAATTACCTCAACCGTCTCTTGACCATGTCTTTCTATCGCAACTACCATGCCATGGTAAGGTCCAGGGGCCGATTTTAGATGTGGAGCAGGATTATCAGACCCTCGGGGAGGAGGGCCAGGGGCCCCAGGGTCTGAGGGGCTGAAAGCCAGGTGTCTCCTCCGGGCTTTTGTTTTCCTCTGCAGACAGAGTTCCTGGAAGTCAGTCAGCTGTCCTTTATCCCGGACTTGGGCCGCAAAGGACTGTGAGTGTCTGGCCCCCTTCACCCAGGCATCCGTAGACATCACTCTTAATTTCTCCCTGCCTGAGATTGGGGCAAGCAGTGCAGGGTGGGCTGGGGGTCTGGAGTCCTCATCCCGCCTCTCTTCCTGATTGTCCCACAGGGAGGGGATGATCCGGAAGCGCTCAGGTGGCCACCGTGTTCCTGGCCTCACCTGCTGTGGCCGAGACCAAGTTTGTTATCGCTGGTCCAAGAGGTACGGGCTATGGCCAAGCAGCTGGGCAGTGGGTGGGGGTGAGGAAGAAAATTTTGAGGGCAGAGAGGAACACACGGAGCCCTTCTGCTCTAGGTGGCTGGTGGTGAAGGACTCCTTCCTGCTGTACATGTGCCTCGAGACAGGTGCCATCTCATTTGTTCAGCTCTTTGACCCTGGCTTTGAGGTGCAAGTGGGGAAAAGGAGCACGGAGGCACGGCACGGCGTGCGGATCGATACCTCCCACAGGTGAGGCCTCCCTGGGGTGAGAGACACCAGCTGAGTGGTGAGCCCACCCACGGCCTTGCTGGGAGTTGAGAAAGAGAGACCACAGGAGAGAGGAAGGCTTTTCCACCTCCCTGGATCGGGACATAGTTTTGAACCAGGAACTGGTCTAGCCAGATGCTTGGGACTGCTCTTAGACTGGGCCCAGAGAAAGGGGATTAGTAGAAGCCTGGGAAGGGAACTGCTGACATAAACGAAATTCCATTTGTTCATTTGTTCATTCAACAAACCCGAGTGCCTGGTACAATACTGGTTGCTGATGCAATACTAGGATCCAACTATGAGTAAGGTGGATATGGCCGGGCGCGGTGGCTCACACCTACAATCCCAGCACTTTGGGAGGCCGAGGCGGGTGGATCACCTGAGGTCAGGAGTTCGAGACCAGCCCAGCCAACATGCTAAAACCTTGTCTCTACTAAAAATACAAAAATTAGCCGGGCGTGGTGGTGCGTGCCTGTAATCCCAGCTATTTGGGAGGCTGAGGCAGGAGAATCGCTTGAAGCTGGGGTGCAGAGGTTGCAGTGAGCAGAGATCGCACCACTGCACTCCAGCCTGGGGGACAAGAGCTAAACTCTGTCTCAAAAATAAATAAATAAATAAGGCAGATACATACACGCCCTATCCCTGTGCAGTTGTGATTAGGGACTAAGGGAGGAAGTGGGAAAGGGGAGGTCTCTAGGCAAGATCACAGGTATGGAGGGCGAGGATTTATGGACATCTCATCGTTCCCATCCAGGTCCTTGATTCTCAAGTGCAGCAGCTACCGGCAGGCACGGTGGTGGGCCCAAGAGATCACTGAGCTGGCACAGGGCCCAGGCAGAGACTTCCTACAGCTGCACCGGCATGACAGCTACGCCCCACCCCGGCCTGGGACCTTGGCCCGGTGGTGAGACACTGACATCCCTTCTGAGCTTGTCTGTGGCTTTCTTGACCCCCTGTGTAATCTCTGAGTCCTTCATCCTCTCTTTTCTCATCTGAACCCTCCTGACCTCAATGACCCGCCCCGTGACTTCTTTAATCTTCCTGACCTTTGACATCTTTAACCACATTGATCTCTCTGATTTCGCGCCGACCTTTCTGACCCCCAAACTTGGTCATCTCTTCTGACCCTTGACCTCTCTAACCTCCTATAACCTTTTAAACCCCTCTCTACAATACTGACCCTCTCTGTTCTCCATGATCTTCTCAAATCTCTCTGATTTAGTCCTTCATTTAATAAACATTTTCTTTTCTTTTTTTTTTTTTTTTTTTTTGAGAGAGAGTTTTGTTCTGTTGATCTCGGCTCACTGCAACCTCCGCCTCCCAGGTTCAAGCGATTCTTCTGCCTCAGCCTCCCGAGTAGCCGGGATTACAGGCGCCCACCACCACACCTGGCTAATTTTTGTATTTTTAGTAGAGACGGGGGTTTCACCATGTTGGCCAGGCTCTTCTCGAACTCCTGACCTCGGGTGATCCGCCCGCCTCGGCCTCCCGAAGTGCTGGGATTACAGGCGTGAGCCACCGTGCCCAGCCTTAATAAACATTTTTCTAAGCACCTAGCAGTGCTGGCAGTAACACACAGTCCTCTCTGGGTTAGGGAAGTAGGTGATCAAATCGTGAAACAATGTGAACTTGCCGTACTGGTGATAGGTAGAAGGTGACACGCACAGACAGGAAGTACCTGGCCCAGCAGGGATATCAGGACAGGTTTCCAGGAGGTGGTGACCCTCAGGTAGTTTTGCTTTAAATCAGAGACTGACACAATATTAATTTTGTTGGTTTTTGTTGGAGACAGTGTCTTGCTCTGTCACCAGGCGTGTAGTGCAGTAGTGTGATCATGGCTCACGGCAACTTCAACCTCCCAGGCTCAAATCATCCTCCTGCCTCAGCCTCCCAAGTAGCTGAGACTACAGACACATGCCACCACACCCGGCTAATTAAAAACATTTTTTTTTACAAAAAATTTTAAAAATTAGACGGGTGTGGTCTCGAACTCCTGGGCTCAAGGGATCATCCTGCCTCGGCCTCCCCAAAGTGCTGGATTGCAGGCATGAGCGACAGTGCCTGGCCTATATACTTTTTTTTTTTTAAGGCAGAGTTTCGCTCTTGTTGCCCAGGCTAGCGTGCAGTGGCACAATCTCAGCTCACTGCAACCTCAGCCTCCCAGGTTCAAGGGATTCTCCTGCCTCAGCCTCCCAAGTAGCTGGGATCACAGGTGCATGCCACCACACCCAGCTAATTTTTGTTTTGGTTTTTTTTTTTTTTTTTTGAGATGGAGTCTGTCTCTGTCACCAGGCTGGAGTGCAGTGGCAGGATCCCACCTCACTGCAACCTCTGACTCCCCGGTTCAAGTGATTCTTCTGCCTCAGCCTCCTGAGTAGCTAGGATTACAGGCATATGCCACCATGTCCAGCTAATTTTTGTATTTTTAGTAGAGCCAGGGTTTCACCATGTTGGCCAGGATGGTCTCGATCTCCTGACTTCGTGATCTGCCCACCTCGGCCTCCCAAAGTGCTGGGATTACAGGCTTGAGCCACTGCACCTGGCTATAAACTTCTAAAACAGCCAAAACCAATCCACAGTGATGGAAATCAGATCAGCAGTTGCCTGTGGCAGGGTATGGGGAAATGATTGCCTATAGTGGGGCACACGAGGGAACATTCCAGGACGATAAAAATGTCCTATATTTTGATAGGACTGGTGATTGCGTGGGAACATACACTTGCTGATCCTCATGGAACTATACAAGATAAAGAAAATGCAGAACAGTCCAGGCACAGAAGACAGAAATAGCTCAGGGTGTTTGGGAACCACCAGGACATATTGTTGTTACTGAGTGAGGAGGAGCAGTCAGAGGAGAAGCTGGGAGTCAGTGGCACCTGATCTCACAGGGTCCCATGTGCTAATATCACAGGCACACAGGGCAGTCATGGAAGGAAGTTTTGTTTGTTCGTTTGTTTTGTTTTGGTTTGGTTTGGTTTTTGAGATGGAGTCTGGCTCTGTCGCCCAAGCTGGAGTGCAGTGGCGCGATACCAGCTCACTGCAGTCTCTGCCCCCTGGGTTCAAGCGATTCTCCTGCCTCGGCCTCCTGAGTAGCTGGGATTACAGGCGTGCACCACTATGCTCAGCTGATTTTTGTATTTTTAGTAGAGATAGGATTTCACCATGTTGGCCAGGCTGGTCACGAACTCCTGACCTTAAGTGATCCACCCGCTTCGGCTTCCCAAAGGGCTGGGATTACAGGCATGAGCCACCTTGCCCAGCCTTCCTGCATATTTTCACATGTGCATGCACGTGTTACTTTTGTTTCAACATAAATGAGATCATGCAACCTCTTCTGTGACTTATTTTTTCACTTAATACCTGTGTGAGAGATTAGACACTTATATTATTTCCCATTTTTCACTCTTACAAACAATGTGATGAACACAACATTTGCCTAGGCATTGTATTAGATGTATTCCTAGACATGTAATTACCATGTATATTTAATGATATTAAAGGGTATATGCATTTAATATTTTGATACTGCTGACCAGTCGCTTTGGCTCATGCCTGTAATCCCAGCACTTTGGGAGGCCGAGGCGGGTAGATCATTGGGGTCAGGAGTTCAAGACCAACCTGGCCAACATGGCAAAAACCCGTCTCTACTAAAAATACAAAAATTAGCCAGGCGTGGTGGCGGGCGCCTGTAATTTCAGTTACTTGGGAGGCTGAGACAGGAAAATTGCTTGAACCCAAGAGGCGGAGGTTGCAGTGAGCCAAGATCATGCCATTGCACTCCAGCCTGGGTGACAGAGCGGGACACCATCTCCAAAAAGCTATATATATATTTTTTGATACTGCCAAATTGTCTCCTAAAAGTTATATTCCCATAGTCTATGAGAATACCCACTTCCCCAGCATATTGAATATTGATATTGAATGTTACCAGTGATTTGAATTATTACCAATCTAATGGATTTTTTAAATGTAATTTCATTTTAATTTCGTTGTTTACTAGTGAAACTGAACATTTGCCACGATTGGCCATTTTAATTTCTCTGTGAACTGTCAGTTCTTACTCTTTGCTCATTTTTCAGTTGGCTCATGTGACTTTTTCTTGTCGATTTATTGGTGTTCTTTATGTATGATGTATTAATCCTCCTGTTCTTTAGTTGATTAGGTTATTGTGTCTTTTTGTAATTTTTATTTGTATTTAGCGCATATGGGCAAACACTATTTTGATGTGTCTGATACCACTTGTGTTCTCTGATCATTTCTGATCTTTGACCTTGCTGTCACCTCTGACCCACGACTGTCCTCCGGTCTTCACTCTCCAGAGCTTTCTGGCTTCTGACTCCCCTGACCTCCTTGGCTTGGCCTCCCCCCAGGTTTGTGAATGGGGCAGGTTACTTTGCTGCTGTGGCAGATGCCATCCTTCGAGCTCAAGAGGAGATTTTCATCACAGACTGGTGGTGAGTGGGAAAAGGCCCCAACAACATGGGGCAGGATAGAGCCTGGGGCAGATCAGCATTAGGAGGAGAAGGGGGGTGCAGCTGGTGGTCTGGGGCTTCGTTTGCCCCTAATCCACTGCCCTGAATCCCAGGTTGAGTCCTGAGGTTTACCTGAAGCGTCCGGCCCATTCAGATGACTGGAGACTGGACATTATGCTCAAGAGGAAGGCGGTGAGGAGAGTGGTCAGGCCGCAGGGGGAGGGGGTTGCCTGTGGGTGGAGGTTGATTAGCAGGGCTGCAGTGTGGGAGAATTAGGCAGTCTGAGGCTTCAGGGGAGGGAAAAGTGTCCATCCTGGCCCAGCACCTGTCAGACATCACCTCCGCCCTCTCCCTCTGCCCTAAGGAGAACTGACAACTTCCTCTTCATGCTCCCTCCACCTGGCAGAGACTTCCCTCCCAGTATACATAATACTTTATTGTGTTATCTGGGGGTATACATGTCTATCTCTCTCACTGGACTAGTTAATATCACTGTTCCACTACAAGGCACAGTACCTGCCATGGAGGGGGCATGTGTGGTGTTGATGGACAGGAAGAAGGATGCATGGATGATGCAGGGTGGCTGGGCAGGTGGATGGATAGAGGACAGAAAGGGTGATGGATGGAAGGATATGAGTTGGAAAGGTGGAGGGCTAGGAGGGTAGGCAGGTAGATGGATGAATGATAGACGGTACATAAAGGGATGAGTAAATGCTTGGGAAGATGGATGGATGGATGATGAAGGGTGGGTGGATAGATGTGTGGATGGGTGAGTGGGTGAGCACACAGATGACATTTAGTCTAAGTCTGTGGCAAGCAGCAAAGCAGGGCATATGTGGCAGAGCCTCTAGGATCTCCAGACAAGCTGGAGGGACACACGTGGAAAAGGTTTGGGAGTGTGGAAAGGGGCTACTCTGGGAGAGGCACTAGGATCTGATTCCCCAACTCACCACCAGGAGGAGGGTGTCCGTGTGTCTATTCTGCTGTTTAAAGAAGTGGAATTGGCCTTGGGCATCAACAGTGGCTATAGCAAGAGGGCGCTGATGCTGCTGCACCCCAACATAAAGGTGACTCTCGGCCTCAGAGACCCTCCCACATGACAGCCCTTCTCCCCACACTGTCCCAGCCCCCAGCGCTCCCGCTCCCTGATGGTCTCATCTTTCCATCTTTCCTCTCTCCCTCCCAGTACCTCCTGTTTTCCTTCACCTAAACCCACCCTCATGAACCCTCCATGCCTGCTCCAGGTGATGCGTCACCCAGACCAAGTGACGTTGTGGGCCCATCATGAGAAGCTCCTGGTGGTGGACCAAGTGGTAGCATTCCTGGGGGGACTGGACCTTGCCTATGGCCGCTGGGATGACCTGCACTACCGACTGACTGACCTTGGAGACTCCTCTGAATCAGCTGCCTCCCAGGTAATCCCCCTGAGGCCTTCCTGAGCACCCCCAAACTCAGATAAGCTCAATCAACACCATTTCCCAGCTCCAGCCTTACCCCCTCAGTCATTCCAGGCCCTGCCAACCTCAGGGTTCCTCAGACTTTCTGGGACTCCAAGAACCCACTTTGAAAGTGCTGTAACTGGCCGGGAGCCATGGCTTATGCCTGTAATCCCAGCACTTTGGGAGGCCAAGGCGGGTGGATCACCTGAGGTCTGGAGTTCGAGACCAGCCTGACCGACATGGTGAAACCCTGTCTCTACTAAAAATGCAAAAAATTAGCTGGGCATGGTGGCAGTTGCCTGTCATTGAAGCTACTCGGGAGGCTGAGGCAGGAGAATCACTTGAACCCAGGAGGCGGAGGTTGCAGTGAGCCGAGATTGTGCCATTGTACTCCACCCTGGGCAACAGAGCGAGACTCTGTCTCAAAAAAAAAAAAAAAAGTGCTGTCACCCACCCAGTCCTTTCCCCATTTTCACTGACCATCACCCCATTCCTCTAAAAGTGTCAAAGGCAACTGGAGGGGAGGGCTGGGGAATCAGACCCTCTGTTTCATTCTTCCTCTCGGTCTCTCTCACTCTTTCAG
Source organism: Homo sapiens (assembly GCF_000001405.40). Classification (NCBI taxonomy): domain Eukaryota; kingdom Metazoa; phylum Chordata; class Mammalia; order Primates; family Hominidae; genus Homo; species Homo sapiens. Next base: position 4,816,542 of record NC_000017.11, read on the forward strand.
TGCTCCTCTCTTTGGCCCTGGCTCTGTACAGCCCCATGACTTCCCCTTGCCCCTGGCTTGGGTGTGTTCCCCCTACAGCCTCCCACCCCGCGCCCAGACTCACCAGCCACCCCAGACCTCTCTCACAACCAATTCTTCTGGCTGGGCAAGGACTACAGCAATCTTATCACCAAGGACTGGGTGCAGCTGGACCGGCCTTTCGAAGGTGAAGCCTCCCACCCGCCAAAGCCCCAGAGAGCTGAGAGCAGGGTCAGAAGCTGGGGCTGGTACTGAGAGTGGGATGAGAGGGGTCAACGGTGGTACAGCCCTCCCTCTGGCAGGCTCTTTCTCCCTGCCCCAAGTGTCCCAAGGAGTCCAGCCCTGACATCTCCCCTGACTCTCCTGGGACCCCCCAGATTTCATTGACAGGGAGACGACCCCTCGGATGCCATGGCGGGACGTTGGGGTGGTCGTCCATGGCCTACCGGCCCGGGACCTTGCCCGGCACTTCATCCAGCGCTGGAACTTCACCAAGGTGTTCATTCCCTCCGATAGGGGCTGGAGGTAGGGAGGGAGCCAGGGCAGATTGGCACCTCCTGCTGACTCTGCCATCCCTCCACGTCAGACCACCAAGGCCAAGTACAAGACTCCCACATACCCCTACCTGCTTCCCAAGTCTACCAGCACGGCCAATCAGCTCCCCTTCACACTTCCAGGAGGGCAGTGCACCACCGTACAGGTGAGGCCCCCCACTTCAGCCAGCCCTCCCCTTTGTCTCCTTCAGCCTAACACCCCAACCCACTCTCCCTGGTGTGAGAGCTGCCCACACTCTCCTTTCCTGGGGTTAAGAAGCACATCACGGCCAGGCACGGTGGCTCACGCCTATAATCCCAGCACTTTGGAAGGCCAAGGCAGGCGGATCACAAGGTCCGGAGATCGAGACCATCCTGGCTAACATGGTGAAACCCCATCTCTACTAAAAATACAAAAAATTAGCCGGGCGTGGTGGTGCGTACCTGTAGTCCCAGCTACTAGGGAGGCTAAGGCAGGAGAATCGCTTGAACCCAGGAGGAGGATGTTGTAGTGAGCTGAGATCACGCCACTGCACTCCAGCCTGGGCAACAGAGTGAGACTCCATCTCAAAAATAAAATAAAAGGCCAGGCGCAGTGGCTTACGCCTGTAATCCCAGCACTTTGGGAGGCCGAGGCAGGCGGATCACGAGGTCCGGAGAGCAAGACCATCCTGGCTAACACCATGAAACCCTGTCTCTACTAAAAATACAAAAAATTAGCCGGGAGTGGTGGTGCGTACCTGTAGTCCCAGCTACTTAGGAGGCTGAGGCAGGAGAATGGCGTGAACCCAGGAGGAGGAGCTTGCAGTGAGCGGAGATCATGCCACTGCACTCCAGCCTAGGCAACAGAGCGAGACTCTGTCTTAAAAAAGAAAAGAAATGAAGCACATCGCATTCACCATTCCCTAGGTCTTGCGATCAGTGGACCGCTGGTCAGCAGGGACTCTGGAGAACTCCATCCTCAATGCCTACCTGCACACCATCAGGGAGAGCCAGCACTTCCTCTACATTGAGGTCTGACTGGGAGGAGGTGGGGGAGAGCATGGAAGGGGTGTCCCAGGAGAGAGACCTGGGGAATGAGTGGAGTCAGTCATTGAGGGCTGGTGGAGCAGAAGCAGACGCCTGGAGCCTGGGACCAAGGCTGGAGGCCGAGGACAGGGCCAGGGGCCAGGCTGCTGATGTCTGTCTCTGATTCTTGCCCCAGAATCAGTTCTTCATTAGCTGCTCAGATGGGCGGACGGTTCTGAACAAGGTGGGCGATGAGATTGTGGACAGAATCCTGAAGGCCCACAAGTAAGGTGGACTGTCAGGAAGGTGGGGACTGTGGGTGTGGTTTGAGCCCGGTTGAAGGGGGTGGGGTTTGAGGGACCAGTCGCACCTCTGACTCCACCCCCTCCCCAGACAGGGGTGGTGTTACCGAGTCTACGTGCTTTTGCCCTTACTCCCTGGCTTCGAGGGTGACATCTCCACGGGCGGTGGCAACTCCATCCAGGCCATTCTGCACTTTACTTACAGGTGACCCCCCAGGCGGACTCCAGCTCTCAGTGGCCCCATCCCACCCGTGTCCCCCTCCTGATTCTGTCCTGATCCCTTCCTGCTGGGCCTTAAAGAAGGGCCACCTCTCCTGACCTCCCCTCCCCTCTGCCAGCCTCCACTTCTCTCCCTCTTTCTTTTCTCTCAGGACCCTGTGTCGTGGGGAGTATTCAATCCTGCATCGCCTTAAAGCAGCCAGTGAGTGCTGGGGGCTGGGGGCTCAAGCCCTGGGCCCCTGGGAGAGGGAGATTGGGGCGCTGCAGGCCTGGGGGTGGGGGAAGGAGGCTGTCACTCCTGTGAGCCTCTGACGCTACGCAGACCATAGCTGGCCTTTCACTGCAGGGAGAAGGAGAGAGACCAGACTCTATGTAGGAAGAGTTTCTGGAGTGAGAGGAGGTGGGACAGGGCCCTGTGCACACAGAGCCACCTCTCACCTCACTTCCCCTCCTGTCACGCAGTGGGGACAGCATGGCGGGACTATATTTCCATCTGCGGGCTTCGTACACACGGAGAGCTGGGCGGGCACCCCGTCTCGGAGCTCATCTACATCCACAGCAAGGTGCTCATCGCAGATGACCGGACAGTCATCATTGGTCAGTGCCGGATCTAGTCCTCTGGCAGGGAGAGGGTGTGGGGACAGGCGAAGAGATGAGAGGCAGGATGACAGAGACTGCAGCTGAGGCTCGTGTAGGGGTGGAGGGTCCAAGAAGGAATGTTGCAGGCCAGTGCTTTGGTAGAGGGGATGGGGTACTGGGGAGAGTGCCCTGGGCCCAAGCACACAGTGTGCCCCGCATCCACCCCAGGTTCTGCAAACATCAATGACCGGAGCTTGCTGGGGAAGCGGGACAGTGAGCTGGCCGTGCTGATCGAGGACACAGAGACGGAACCATCCCTCATGAATGGGGCAGAGTATCAGGCGGGCAGGTTTGCCTTGAGTCTGCGGAAGCACTGCTTCGGGTAGAGCTGGGGCGGGATGCCACAGGGTGGGAGGGAGATGGGGGCGTCTGCCTTTTGAGCAGGACAAGAGGTAGCACCGCATAGGTACTCCCGGAGCCAGAGGTAGAGGCAGTACTAGATTCTCAATAGGCAAGGCTGGGCGCGGCAGCTCACGCCTCTAATCCCAGCACTTTGGGAGGCCAAGGCGGGTGGATTGCCTGAGGTCAGGATTTTGAGACCAGCCTGGCTAACATAGTGAAACCCGTCTCTACTAAAAATACAAAAAATCAGCTGGGTGTGGTGGCGGGCGCCTGTGATCCCAGCTACTAGGACTAATCAGTTTAGAGTATCAGTAAAGCAGGAACACCAAAAAACAAAAAGAGAAAAAAATCTTTTTTTTTTGAGACGGAGTTTTGCTCTTGTTGCCCAGGCTGGAGTGCAATGGCGAGATCTCAGCTCACTGCAACCTCTGCCCTGGGTTCAAGCGATTCTCCTGCCTCAGCCTCCCGAGTAGCTGGGATTACAGGCATGCGCCACCACGCCCAGCTAATTTTGTATTTTTAGTAGAGATGGGGTTTCGCCGTGTTGGTCAGGCTGGTCTCGAACTCCCGACCTCAGGTGATCCACCCACTTCAGCATTCCAAAGTGCTGGGATTACAGGCGTGAGCCACTGCACCTGGCCACGAAAAAGAAATCTTTTTTGTTGTTGTTGTTGTTGTTGTTGAGACACGGTTTCACTCTTGTCGCCCAGGCTGGAGTGCAATGGCACGATCCTGGCTCACTGCAACCTCCGCCTCCTGGGTTCAAGCAATTCTTCTGCCTCAGCCTCCGGAGTAGCTGGGATTACAGGCGCCCACCACCACGCCCAGCTAATTTTTGTATTTTTAGTAGAGACAGGGTTTCGCTGTGTTGGCCAGGCTGATCTTGAACTCCTGACCTCAGGCTTCGGCCTCCCAAAGTGCTGGGATTACAGGCATGAACCACCGCCCCTGGCCAAAAAAAAAAAAAAATCTTTTTTTTTTTTCTTTTTTTTTGAGAGGGAGTCTCACTGTCGCCCAGGCTGGAGTGCAGTGGCGCGATCTCGGCTCACTGCAGGCTCCGCCGCCCAGGGTTCATGCCATTCTCCTGCCTCAGCCTCCCGAGTAGCTGGGACTACAGGCACCCGCCACCTCGCCCGGCTAATTTTTTGTATTTTTAGTAGAGACGGGGTTTCACCGTGTTAGCCAGGATGGTCTAGATCTCTTGACCTCGTGATCTGCCCGCCTCCGCCTCCCAAAGTGCTGGGATTACAGGCATGAGCCACCACGCCCGGCCAAAAAAAAAAAACTTTTGTGTTTTGTTTGTTTGTTTGTTTTCTTTTTGAGACGGAGTCGCTCTGTCACCCACGCTGGAGTGCAGTGGCGCGATCTCGGCTCACTGCAAGCTCCGCCTCCCGGGTTCATACCATTCTCCTGCCTCAGCCTCCCGAGTAGCTGGGATTACAGGCGCCCGCCACCATGCCCAGCTAATTTTTTGTATTTTTAGTATAGATGGGGTTTCACCGTGTTAGCCAGGATGGTCTCGATCTCCTGACCTCGTGATCCGCCCATCTCAGCCTCCCAAAGTGCTGGGATTACAGGCATGAGCCACCGTGCCCGGCCAAAAAAAAAATCTTTTAAAAGTAATTTTTTTCACAGGTTCTGAGGATTGGGGAAAGAACAGAAAAAGAAGAAAATTTAAAATAAAAATAATTTTTTAAAGCATCAAGGTAGTCATCAAAGTCAAGACAAATCAGAACTCTGTTGGCTTCTTTTACACTTATTTTACTATTTTATATTGCATTTATTTTGTTTTTGTTTGTTTGTTTGTTTTGAGATAGGGTCTTGCTCTGTCACCCAGCTAGAGTTCAGTGGCGTTACCACGGCTCACTGCAACCTCGACTTCGCCAGCTGAAGTGATCCTCCCACTTCAGCCTCCCAAGTAGCTGGGACTATAGGCACATGCCACCGTGCCTGGCTAATTTTTGTATTTTTTTGTAGAGATGGGGTTTTGCCATATTGCCCAGGCTGGTCTTGAATTCCTGAGCTCAAGCAATCCACCTGCCTCATCCTCCCAAAGTGCTGGGAATACAGGCGTGAGCCACCGCACCCAGCCAATTTTGAATTACCTGAGTAGGGACAATGTAACTTTTCTGGTACTCAGGTTCTCTAAGGATCTTAATCTGGCCCTGCTGGGACCCCTTTCTCCTATAGTGTGATTCTTGGAGCAAATACCCGGCCAGACTTGGATCTCCGAGACCCCATCTGTGATGACTTCTTCCAGTTGTGGCAAGACATGGCTGAGAGCAACGCCAATATCTATGAGCAGGTGGGAACTTGGGAGGGGTGGGGGAGAGTGGCCTGGGGAAATTTGTGGATTATCCTGCTCAGGGTAGGATGGAGAGAAGCGCCACCATACAGTCATTATTGGAAGGGGGATGAGGGCCTGGGGACATTTGCTATCAAGAGATTTAGTGGCCCAGGCCGGGTGCAGTGGCTCATGCCTGTAATCCCAGCACTTTGGGAGGCCAAGGCCCGGTGGATCACCTGAGGTCAGGAGTTTGAGATCAGCCTCCCAACATGGCAAAACCCCATCTCTACTAAAAATACAAAAAAATTAGCTAGGTGTGGCTGGGAGGCTGAGGCAGGAGAATCTCTTGAACTCAGGAGACAGAGATTTCAGTGAGCCGAGATCACGCCATTGCACTCCAGCCACCTGGGCAACAAGAGCAAAACTCTGTCTCAAAAAAAAAAAGTACAAAAGTTAGCCGGGCATGGTGGTGGGCACCTGTAATCCCAGCTACTCAGGAGGCAGAGGCAGGAGAATCACTTGAACCCGAGAGGTGGAGATTGTAGTGAGCCGAGATCGCACCATTGCACTCCAGCCTGGGCAAAAAGAGTGAAACTCCGTCTCAAAAAAAAAAAGAGAGAGAGAGTTAGTGGCCCAGGGTCAACGGGGGGTATGGAGAGATGGTATGGGGGAAGGGGTCTAGCCTAGTTGGACTTAGATTGTTGGGAGAGTCTCCCCAAGCCTTACTGGCGTCCATGCCCCCGCCCACAGATCTTCCGCTGCCTGCCATCCAATGCCACGCGTTCCCTGCGGACTCTCCGGGAGTACGTGGCCGTGGAGCCCTTGGCCACGGTCAGTCCCCCCTTGGCTCGGTCTGAGCTCACCCAGGTCCAGGGCCACCTGGTCCACTTCCCCCTCAAGTTCCTAGAGGATGAGTCTTTGCTGCCCCCGCTGGGTAGCAAGGAGGGCATGATCCCCCTAGAAGTGTGGACATAGTTGAGGCCCCCGTCAGGGAGAGGTCACCAGCTGCTGTGCCCCACCACGTCTGGCTCCCTGCCCCTTAACCCCAAGGACTGAGGGCAGTGCCCTTTGAGATCTGGGGAGGCAGGCATTCCTGAAGGGAACTAGAGGTGTTACAGAGGACCCTTACGTGAGAAATAGCTGAAAAGGGCACTCCCAACCCTGGGCTGGGGAGGAGGAGAGAGTCCCAGAGCTCATCCCCCCTGCTGCCCAGTGCAAACCACTTCTCCATGCTGCAAAGGAGAAGCACAGCTCCTGCCAGGGTGAGCAGGGTCAAGCCTCTTATTCCAGGAGAAGGGGGCTCTGCCCCAGGCCCTACTACCCATTGTTCCCTTCCTCTTCCTGCCCTTGAACCCCCTCCCTGTCCCAGGGCCCTCCCAGCCCATTGCTGCCAAGGTGGAGGGAAGGATAAAGCCACTTCTGGCTTCAGCCCCCACCAGGGGAAGGAAGGAGGGCACATTAACTCCCTCCACCAGCCTGCTGACAGACACTAACTTTGTATCCGTTCAATAAGCATTTCATAAATAAAGGTGTAGAAAAGGTTCATGCGTCTTCCTTGGAGGAACTAACTGCTCGTTCCAGCCTCCCGTTCCTGCCCACACGGGGCACCAGTCCCCTTCACCTTATCTCCACCCTCCTCCACTCTCCTCTCTCCACCTCTGTTCTACCTATCTGTGGCTTCGGGAGCTCGGTCACCTGGCTCCTGAGAGGAGAAGGTGTTGACACAGTGCCGCCTGGGTAGAAGGACGGGCAGGGCCCAACCAGGGCACCTGGAGAACTGTGGAGCTGCTATCACAACCGCAGGTGAGGGAGATGCTCTGAGAAGGACCTAGAGAGGCTGCCTCTTGTTCAAGCAACAGCCCTGGTAGAGGCTTAATGAAGGCCCTGTGGGAGTGGTTGAGGGTATAGGCTTAAGGTCAGGAAGACCTGGACCCAAATCCTGGACTCCTCAATGAGAAGCTAGGTGAACTTGTCAAGTCATTCACTTCTCTGGGCCTCAGTGGTCCCCGCTGGGAAATGGGAATAATACTTACATGACTAGCTTGCTGTCAAGACTCAGCCATTGACTTAAATATTTATTGATTCCCTGCTATTTGCCAGCTCTGTTCTAGACTCACAGAAGTGAGTGCAACAAAGTCCTCACCCGTATGGCACTTCTGTTCTGGAGCCTCACTGTCCAGTACAGTAGCCACTAGCCACTAGCCATGTTTGGCTATTTCTTTTTCTATTTATTATTATTATTATTTTTTTTTTGAGACGGAGTCTTCTCTGTCACCCAGGCTGGAGTGCAGTGGCATGATCTCAGCTCACTGCAACCTCCACTTCCCAGGTTCAAGCGATTCTCCTGCCTCAGCCTCCTGAGTAGCTGGGACTACAGGTGTGTGCCACCACGCCCGGCTAATTTTTTTTTTTTTGAGACAGAGTCTTGCTCTGTCGTCCAGGCTGGAGTGCAGTGGCGTGATCTCAGCTCACTGCAACCTCCACCTCCTGGGCTCAAGCAATTCTCCTGCCTCAGCCTCCTGAACAGCTGGGATTACAGGCGCCCGCCACCACGCCTGGCTAATTTGTATATTTTTTAGTTGGCCAGGCTGGTCTCGAACTCCTGACCTCATCATCCACCCACCTCAGCCTCCCAAAGTGCTGGGACTACAGGCATGAGCCACTGCACCCAGACTAATTTTTGTATTTTTAGTAGAGACAGGGTTTTGCTATGTTGGCCAGGCTGGTCTCAAACTCCTGACCTCAGATGATTCACCCGCCTCGGCCTCCCAAAGTGCTGGGATTACAGGTGTGAGCCACCGTGCTGGGCCTGGCTATTTCAATTTAAGTGAATTAAAATTAGAATTAAAAATGTAGGGGCTGGGCACAGTGGCTCACGCCTGTAATCCCAGCACTTTGGGAGGCCAAGGTGGGTGGATCACTTGAGGTCAGGAGTTCGAGACCAGCCTGGCCAACATGGTGAAACCCTGTCTCTACAAAAATAAAAAAATTAGCCGGGTATGATGGCGGGTGCCTGTAATCCCAGCTACTCAGGAGGCTGAGGCATGAGAATCGCTTGAATCCAAGAGGCAGAACTTGCAGTGAGCCGAGATTGCACCACTGCACTCCAGCCTGGGCGACAGAGCAAGCAAGGCTTTGTCTCAAAAAAAAAAAAAAAAAAATTTAGTCCCTTACACTAGCTACATTTCAAGTGCTCAGTAGCCAATTGTTGCCAGTAACTAACATATTGGACAGTGCAAGTATAGACCATTTCCATCACTGCACAGAGTTCTACTGGACAGCCCTCTTCCCAGAGGGAAGAGGTGGAAAATATGGCAAGGTCTATGGAAGCGTATTGCACATACCAAACTGGGAATGGTTACCTTCCAGAAGAGGTATACAGAGAGAATGTCACTGGTAACAATGGTAAATTTTTTTGACGGGGAGGGGCAGACAGAGTCTTGTTCTGTCCCCCAGGCTGGAGTGCAATGGCACAATCATAGCTCATTGCAATGTTGAACTCCTGGACTCAAGAGATCCTCCTGCCTCAGCCTCCTGAATAGATGGGACTACAAGCATGTGCCACCACACCTGGCTAATGTTTTTATTTTTTGTAGAGATGGGGTCTTGCTCTGTTGCCCAAGCTGGTCTTGAGCTCCTGGGCTTAAGTCATCTTCCCACCTCAGCCTCCTAAAGTGCTGAGATTACAGGCATAAATAGCACCTGGCCCTTTTTATTTCTTTTCTTTTTTTCTTTTTTTTTTTTTTTGAGATGGAGTCTTGCTCTGTTGCCCAGGCTGGAGTGCAGTGGCACAATCTCAGCTCACTGCACCCTCCGCCTCCCAGGTTCAAGCAATTCTCCTGTCTCAGCTTCCTGAGTAGCTGGGACTACAGGCGTCCACTACCACGTTTGACTAATTTTTTTATATTTTTAGTAGAGACGGAGTTTCACCATGTTGGCCAGGCTGGTCTTGAACTCCTGACCTCAGGTGATCCACCCTCCTCGGCCTCCCAAAGTGCTGGGATTACAGGCACAAGCCACAGCACCTGGCCCCTTTTATTTTCTTAAACTGAGTGTATATAAAAGCTGGGCATGGTGGCTAAAGCCTGTAATCCCAGCTATTCAGGAGGCTGAGGCAGGAGGACCAAGAGTTCAAGCTCAGCCTGGGCAACATAGCAAGACCCCATCTCTAAAAATTTCTTAATTAAAAAAATATAAACACACATATTCATAACTTTTTGTATGTCTGAAATTTTTTATTTTTGTTCCTTTTTATTTTTTAGAGACAGGTCCTGCTTTGTGGCCCAGGCTAGAGTGCAGTGGTGCGATCACAGCTCTCTGCAGCTTTGATTTCCTGGGCTCAAGCAATCCACCTCAGCCTCCAGAGTAGCTGGGACTACAGGTGCATGCCATGGTGCCCAGCTTATTTATTTTTTCATTTTTGAGACAGGCTCTCAGTCTGTTGCTAAGGCTGGAGTGCAGTGCAGTGGGTAATCATGGCTCACTGCAGCCTGGACCTCCTGGGCTCAATCAATCCTTCCGCCTCAGCCTCCTGAGTAGCTGGGATTACAGGCAGGCGCCACCATGCCTGGCTAATTTTTGCATAATTTAGTAGAGACGGGGTTTCACTGTGTTGGCCAGGCTGGTCTCAAACTCCTGACCTCATGATCCGCCCTCCTCGGCCTCCCAAAGTGCTGGGATTAGAGGCATGAGCCACCGTGCCTAGCCCAAAATATTTTCTTTTCTTTTTTTTTTTTTTTTTTTTTGAGACAGAGTTTCAGTCGTTGCCCAGGCTGGAGTGCAATGGCGCGATCTTGGCTCACCGCAACCTACGCCTCCCGGGTTCAAGTGATTCTCCTGCCTCAGCCTCCCAAGTAGCTGGGATTAGAGGCATGTGCCACCACGCTCGGCTAATTTTATATTTTTTAGTAGAGACGGGGTTTCTCCATGTTGGTCAGGCTGGTCTCGAACTCCCGACCTCAAGTGATCCGCCTGCCTCGGCCTCCCAAAGTACTGGGATTACAGGTGTGAGCCACCGCACCCGGACCCAAAATAATTTCAATTAGAAAAAAATGTAGGTCGGGCACGGTGGCTCATGCCTGTAATCCCAGCACTTTGGGAGGCCGAGGTGTGGGGATCACAAGGTCAGGAGATAGAGACCATCCTGGCTAACATGGCGAAACCCCCTCTCTACTAAAAATACAAAAACAGCCGGGCACGGTGGTGGGCGCCTGTAGTCCCAGCTACTGGGGAAGCTGAGGCAGGAGAATCGCTTGAACCCGGGAGGTGAAGGTTGCAGTGAGCTGAGATTGCGCCATTGTACTCCAGCCTGGGCGACAGAGCGAGACTCCATCTCAAAAAAAAAAGAAAGAAAGAAAGAAAAAAATGTAGCACAAGTCCTGGCTCTTGCCCTTCATTCCCACAGCCTCACGCCCCAGTCTCAGAACTGACCGCAGATGCAGGAGGAAACTGAGGGGGGTGAAGTATGGAGATTAGGAAGCCCTCCTGGAAGAGAGATGTGCTGGGTGGGTGAGGCATGAAGAGGGGATGATGTTGCTCTGCCTCATCCTCTCCTTCGAGTTCAGCCCTCAGTCCTCACAAGAAGCTAAAGAAGCTACTTCTGTGCCAGAATTCCCCCCTCCTACATATAGCGGTCTCCTGGTACTAATTGGCATCCTGTTAATTAGCCTCATTGTCAGCACTAACTGCCTGTTTCCCCGAGGGGGACCATTACCTCATTCACCGTGGAGTGAGATAGAGGCAGCGGTTGCCCCAGGCTGGGCCAGGGGTGCCGAGGGCTTCTGCTTCACACTCTCTGCCTTCGCCTCCCTAGTCCTGGAGGTTTTTGTTTGTTTTCGGTTTTTTTTGAGATGGAGTCTTGCTCTGTCACCCAGGCTGGAGTGCAGTGGCACAATCTTGGCTCACTGCAACCTCCACCTCCCGGGTTCAAGCAATTCTCCTGCCTCAGCCTCCCGAGTAGCTGGGATTACAGGCCCCCTGCACCGTGCCTGGCTAATTTTTGTACTTTTAGTAGACACGGGGTTTCACCATGTTGGCCAGGCTGGCCTGGAACTCCTGATCTCGTGATCCACCCGCCTTAGCCTCCCAAAGTGCTGGGATTGCAGGCATGAGCCACTGTGCCCAGCCTAGTCCTGGAGTTTTTTAAATGGAGACCAACCATAGTGAGGGGGGGTGGGCGGTGGAAGCAGAGGGCTTAGAATCAGAAGAGTTGGCTCTAAACCCAGAATGGAAAAAGGAGCCTCTATGACTGAGGCATTAGTAAATTTATTGAGGACCTAGTATATGCTAAGTGCTTTACATAAATTATTTTATCCTAACCTCCCTATTATTATCATCTCCATTTTACAGATGACAGAGTTGAGCCTCAGAGAGGTTAGTGATTTGCCTAACGCACTACCTCCAAATTCTATGCTTTTTCCTACTATCCCATGGTCTTGACTTTGAACTGCTACAGTGCCCACCCAGACAACAGATGCCTTCATTACTTTTTTTTTTTTTTTTTTGGGGATGGAGTCTCGCTCTGTCGCCCGGGCTGGAGTGCAGTGGCATGATCACAGCTCACTGCAACCTCCGCCTCCCGGGTTCAAGCAATTCCCCTGCCTCAGCCTCCCACCTAGCCGGGATTACAGGTGCACACCACCACGCCCAGCTAATTTTTGTATTTTTCATAGAGACAGGTTTTCACCATATTGGTCAGGCTGGTCTCGAACCCCTGACCTCAGGTGATCCACCCGCCTCAGCCTCCCAAAGTGCTGGGATTACAGGCATGGGCCACGGTGCCTGGCCACCTTCATTGCTTAAGTGTTAGTGATTTTCTTTCTTTTGTTTTTTTTTTAAGCGTTATTGATTTTCTAGTGGGTGCCAGGCCATGTGCTGAACAAGACTAATATTATTCCTGCTTTTAAGGAGATTCAAAAGACATTTACAATTCAAATCATTAAATGTTACCATGGACTAAAGCCAGGCAGCTAAAACAGAAGAACCAAACTTAGTCTTGGTGAGTCAAGGAACGCTTCATGGAGGAGGTGATTTAGACACGTAGGACAAAGCAAAGCACGGTAAGAATGGGCATGGTCAAGAGGCTAGGGAATATTCCAAAGAGAAAACAGAGTACATGCAAAGGTTGGGGGAGAGAAAGTTGAGTTCTGGGAAGTGAGTAGAGTATTTCAGTATGGCTGGAAAATGTGAGGTCTAATAGTTGAGTATTGAAAAGTAAGGCAGGCACTGAGCAGGGTGGTTCATGCCTATAATCCCAGCAACTCAAGAGCCTGAGGCAGGATTAACACTTGAGCCCAGGAGTTGGAGGCTGCCGTAAGCCATGATCGTGCCACTACACTCTAGCCTGGGTGATAGAGCAAGACCCCAACTCCTAAAGAAGCAAACCGTTAACAAAGAAAAAGAAGGCAAGAAAAGCCAGCAGAATCTTGAAGGGTCTTTGATGCCACACTTTGCCTTTTTTTTTTTTTTTTTTTTTTTTTTTTTTATGAGACAGAGTCTCACGCTGTCACCCAGGCGGGAGTGCAGTGGTGCAATCTCAGCTCACTGCAACCTCTGCCTCCTGGGTTCAAGCAATCCTCTTGCCTCAGCCTCCCAAGTAGCTGGGATTATAGGCACACCCCACCACGCCCGGCTAATTTTTTGTATTTTTAGTAGAGACGGCATTTCACCATGTTGGCCAGGCTGGTCTCGAACTCCCAATCTCAGGTGATCCACCTGCCTCAGCCTCCCAAAGTGCGGGGATTACAGGTGTGAGCCACCATGCCCAGCCAATCTGGTTTTTGTTTTGTTTTGAGATGGAGTTTCGCTCTTGTTGCCCAAGCTGGAGTGCAATGGCATGATCTCGGCTCACCACAACCTCCGCCTCCCAGATTCAAGAGATTCTCCTGCCCCGGCCTCCTAAGTAGCTGGGATTACAGGCATGCGCCACCACACACGGCCAATTTTGTATTTTTAGTAGAGACGGGGTTTCTCCATGTTTGTCAGGATGGTCTCGATCTCTTGACCTCGTGATCCACCTGCCTTGGCCTCCCAAAGTGCTGGGATTACAGGCGTGAGCCACCGTGCCTGGCCTTTTTTTTTTTTTTTTTTTTTTGAGACAGAGTCTCGCGCTGTTGCCCAGGCTGGAGTGCAGTCGCCTGCCTTGGCTTCCCCAAGTGCTGGGATTGCAGGCATGAGCCACCACGCCCGGCCAATTTTTTTTTTTTTTTTTTTTGAGACGGAGTCTTGCTCTGTCGCCCAGGCTGGAGTGCAGTGGCACGACCTCGGCTCACTGCAAGCTCCGCCTCCGGGGTTCACACCATTCTCCTGCCTCAGCCTCCGGAGTAGCTGGGACTACAGGCGCCCACCACCACGCCCGGCTAATTTTTTTTTGTATTTTTGGTAGAGACGGGGTTTCACCGTGTTAGCCAGGATGGTCTTGATCTCCTGACCTCGTGATCCTCCCGCCTCAGCCTCCCAAAGTGCTGGGATTACAGGCGTGAGCCACTGCACCCGGCTTTTTTTTTTTTTTTTTTTTTGAGACGTTGTCTTGCTCTGTCACCCAGGCTGGAGTGCAGTGGCACGTTCTCGGCTCACTGCAACCTCTGCCTCCCGGGTTCAAGCGATTCTTCTGCATCGGCATCCCGAATAGCTGGGATTACAGGCGCCTGCCACCATGCCCGGCTAATTTTTGTATTTTTAGTAGAGACATGGTTTCACCATGTTGTCCAGGCTGGTCTCAAACTCCTGACCTCAGGTGATCCACTCGTCTCGGCCTCCCCAAAAGTGCTGGGATTACAGGCGTGAGCCACTGCACCCGGCTTTTTTTTTTTTTTTTTTTTTGAGACGTTGTCTTGCTCTGTCACCCAGGCTGGAGTGCAGTGGCACGTTCTCGGCTCACTGCAACCTCTGCCTCCCGGGTTCAAGCGATTCTTCTGCATCGGCATCCCGAATAGCTGGGATTACAGGCGCCTGCCACCATGCCCGGCTAATTTTTGTATTTTTAGTAGAGACATGGTTTCACCATGTTGTCCAGGCTGGTCTCAAACTCCTGACCTCAGGTGATCCACTCGTCTCGGCCTCCCCAAAAGTGCTGGGATTACAGGCGCAAGCCACCGTGCCCGGCCAATTTTTTGTATTTTTAATAGAGACAGAGTTTCACTATGTCTGCGAGGCTTGGCCGGTTGTGGTGGTTCACGCCTGTAATCCCTGCACTTTGGGAGGCCAATGCAGGTGGATCACCTGAGACCAGGAGTTCGAGACCAGCCTGGCCAACATGATGAAACCCCGTCTCAACTGAAAATACAAAAAATTAGCTACGCGTGGTGGCGTGCACCTGTAATCCCAGCTACTCAGGAGGCTGAGATAGGAGAATTGCTTGAACCCGGGAGGCGGAGGTTGCAGTGAGCCAAGATTGTGCCACTGCACTCCAGCCTGGGCAACGAGAACAAAACTCTGTCTCCACCAAGGTGACATTTTCCACCCTGTGTCCTGTTCCCCAATAAAAACAAATTCACAAATTCACAAAAAAACTAAACTAAACTAAAACTGTCTAAAAAAAAAAAAAAAAAAAAAAAAACAAACAAAAAACCCCACCATGTTGGCCAGGCTGGCCTCCAACTCCTGTCCTCAAGGGATCCTGTAATCTCCGCATTTTGGGAGGCCGAGGCAGGCAGATCACTTGAGGCCAGGGGTTTGAGACCAGATTGGGCGACATGGCAAAGCCCCATCTCTACAAAACATATAAAAATCAGCCAGGTGTAGTGGCATGCGCTGCCTGTAGTCCTGGCTACTTGGGAGGCTGAGGTTGGAGGATAGCTTGAGCCCAGAAGCTTGAGGTTGCAGTGAGCAGAGATCATACCATTGTACTCCAGCCTGGGTGACAGAGCGAGACTTTGTCTTTAAAAAAAAAAAAATAGAGGCTGGGCACAGTGGCTGACGCCTGTAATCCCAGCACTTTGGGAGGCCGAGGCGGGCGGATCACGAGGTCATGAGATCGAGACCATCCTGGCTAACATGGTGAAACCCCGTCTCCACTAAAAATACAAAAAATTAGCCGGGCGAGGTGGCGGGCGCCTGTAGTCCCAGCTACTCAGGAGGCTGAGGCAGGAGAATGGCATGAACCCGGAAAGCGGAGCTTGCAGTGAGCTAAGATCGCACCACTGCACTCCAGCCTGGGCGACAGAGTGAGACTCTGTCTCAAAAAAAAAAAAAAAAAAAAAAAAATAGAATTGACTTGAAGGAGTCAGGCCGGAAGGCCAAATAGGAGATGAATGGGGATAGCGGCTTGAATAAGGGCAGTGGCAAGGAAAATGGGCTAGGGGTTAGGGAAGGGGGCCGACTGGCTGTGCACCCAAATGCTAAAAACGGTCCAGAAAGGAATGTGTTCAGCTATTTTTCAAGGACTTCTAAATTAAACTCTCTTAAATGATGTTTATATTAAGGCTGGTGGTGGAGTCTTTCAGAGGCAGTGTTGGTGCTAGAAGAGCTCTTGAGGATCATACAGCCTCCCCCCTCAATTTCACAGTGAAAGAAAACCTCAGAGAAGCAAAGCAACTTGCTCAAGGTCACACAGCATTTCAGTGGTAGAACATGACTCGTGGTTCTTAGATAGCATTACCCAGCCTCCACTGAGGCTAATGGCTGTAGGCGCTATGCCAACATGACTAGATCTAAGGTGACCCAAGCTATATTTTAAGGGACTGAACGCAGATTCCCTCTCTTCCCCTTCGCCACCCCTTCCTCCACGCGCGACTCCAGTGATCAATGAATAATTGTGGAAACAGTTCCTTTGTGCAGAACACTTTGTTAAAAGAGGTGCAGAGATACACGTCTGCGGTAGGATTCCTTATCCTGAGATCTGAGAGCACCTCGATGCTTCCCCAACCTGCTAGGTGAGGGTGGAAAGGGCATTCCTGAGGCAGCCGGTGCCCCTCCTCTGCCCCCCAACTCCCACGTGGTTTCTCCAGCCAAGTTCTCACGGAGTGGCCCCTCCCTCAGCGGCTCCACTGTTGCCATAGCAATTGGGTGGGTGGACAGCCCGTCCTATCTAGAGGCCACCCAGCCCTCGCGTGGGGAGTTACCATAACAACCCCCTAGTAATAGAGGGGGTTGGGTACCGCCCCCTTCCCCCGCAAATGGAAAGGTGGGTGGCTTGATTGGCAGCTGGGCACACGAAAGAAGGAGGGAAAGGGAAGGAAAGGCGTCAAAGGAGATCTGAGAAGGAAATAAGGGAGAGAAAGGGCAAAAAAAATAGGGAAAGAAAAGGAAACGCGTGTGCGCACGCGCACCAGCTGGTGGGCGCGCTCCGCGGCCGCCTCGGCCGCCGCCCACTTCTTTCACGCCAGGCTCGCGCGGTCGCTCCGTCCTCGCGCGCGCCTTTCGCCTGCTCGCCTGCGCCTGCGCGCAGGTGTCGGCGCCTAGGGGGAGGGGGCCCCGGCGCGCTCGCGTCACGCTCGCGCTTCCACCCTCCCAGTGCGCGGTCGCTCCGCGCCTGCGCAGGAGAGGTGGTAGGCTCGGGTGGCTGGCTCCGGGGAGATAGCGCCTGTCAGTCGGTGGGTCGGTCCTCGCGCCGGCCCTCCCCCTCCCCGGTCTCCGGGGGAGGCGCGGTGGAGTCCGCCCCCGGGGTTCTCCGATGGGGGAGAAGCGGCGACGGCGGCAGTGGAGTAACCGAGCCGGAGCGTGAGCGGCCCCGGTGCCCCGTTCCCCACGGAGGCCATGGGCGACCCAGCCCCCGCCCGCAGCCTGGACGACATCGACCTGTCCGCCCTGCGGGTGAGCGCGCCGTCCCCCAGCCTCGCCCTGGTTCCTGTCCCCGCCGCAGGGGAGGGAGCGGGGTGGCTGCACGCCTCACGTGCTCCCGGGCGCCCCCTCCACCAGCTTGGGTCCCCTTGGCGACCCGTGCCCCTTTCCCGGACTCCCGCCGCGGCTGGGCCCCCGCCCTCTGCTCCCTTCTCTCTCCACTGGCTGCAGATGCTGGGAGCCAGTTCGGTCCCCACCCTGTGGTGCCCCGCCCCCACACTTCCGTGCCACCCTACCTTTACTCTGGGGTTCGGGACCCACTGGTTCGCCTAAACTTAGCCTCCCCCATCACCTGGAGAACCTTTATTGTGGTTCCTTACCTCCTTTCGGCCCTTTTCCACCTTTGCCCTTACTTCTATCTTCTTCCTTCCCCTCCTCTTCCTCAGCTCCTGGAATTTTGACTTTGCAACTGTCTCGACAGCCTCTCTCTCATCCCTCTTTCTCTGCCTCGCCCACCCTTGAATTGCATCCTTTCCCTGGTCGGAATTTCAGCTACCCCACCCCTCGTGCCGTCACCCTCAATCCCATGTTCAGTTTTCCCTATCCCTTCTCTCCTGTTTCAAGTGCAGCAGTTCAGAACCAGGCATTTCCGGTCTCAGGGTCCCTGAATATTACATGACCAACTCTGCAGCAGCGTGGGGCTGGGAGCCCTCGGGGAGGAGGGGAGGCATTTCTTCTCTTTGGAAACTGTAGCACGGGCTGGGAAGAGGATGTTTACACACACACACACGCGCACACACGACACATGCTACATGTGGTCAGGCTGAAGGTTTGGAAAGGCAGTGGGTGTTTATGTTAGCTAAAGGCTGGAAGCAATGGAGACCTCTCAAGGTAGGGGCTAATAAGGAAAGGGGTTGAGAGGAAGCAAATGCTGCAGGAATTTCTTGGAAATACCCGTTCATTGTCCCTTGTGGGGCACTTACACACTCTGGTGGAAGAGCTTTCTGTAGCATTTATGTTTTTCTTCGGCAGGGAGCTTTGGCTTAAGGGGCAACTTAGTGATTTCAAGGTGAACACTCCAGACTATCAGCCAGGTGGTGTTTTGATCCTGTGCCCTTCCAGCGCTCTCACCAGGCCAAGGTGTGGGGAGAGCAGGACTTCCCATCTCTAGGTTCGCTTCTCTGGAGGCCCCTGCTCAGACTGTCTTCTGGCTTTTGAGTCAGCCAGGGAACATGGCCAGTAGTGGGAAAAGGCGGTCAGCCACACAGGTGCCCCGGATATGGCTGGAGGGGAGAGGGGAATTGAAGAGAGCAGAGTCATGTTGTTAATTGGGTTTCTCTAGGTGACACAGTTTTTTTTCTTCCCATTTTCAGGTCATAATTTGTTTGGTGCAATGTTGGGCTATGAGACCTGACTTGCTGGAGATAACGTGATAAATTTCTGGGGAGAGGGACTGAACGCTGAATTTCTCTGTGTGCGCAGGCACATGTGTGTGTGTTGATGAGGAGAGGGTCTGAAGGCTTTAGGAGGGAGATTCTTAAGGTCAGCTTGGCCAGGGTTTAAACTGGGATGCCCAAGTCGGGATATAAGATGGAAATCCAGATTCTGAGTAAAAGTCCCTTAATGTGCTCCATTCTGGGATGAACTTCCACCTTTCCTTCCTACCTTGGTTATTGATTAACTGGCTACAGGTTCCTGTGGCTGGGGTGACTAAAATACAATAAAAAATGGGTGGGTCAGGCCGGGCGAGGTGCTCACACCTGTAATCCCAGCACTTTGGGAGGCCGAGGTGGGGCATCACCTGAGGTCAGGAGTTCGGGACCAGCCTGGCCAACACTGTGAAACCCCATCCTTACTAAAAATACAAAAATTAGCCACACGTGGTGGCACACACCTGTGATCCCAGCTACTCAGGAGGCTGAGGCAGGAGAACTGCTTGAACTGGGGAGGTGGAGGTTGCAGTGAGCCAAGATTGCACCACTGCACTCCAGCTTGGGCGACAAAGCGAGACCTTGTCTTAAACAAAACAAAACAAAACAAAAAAACGGGGCGGGTCCAAACCACAACCTTTGCTTTGAACCTTGTGGGACTCTGCTTGGGTTTCTCTTTTAGCCTCTTTTGGTAGTTTGGCCTGGACCCTCAACCTGGGATTTCCAGCAATTCCACAAATACCCTCTGACCTTAGATGTGGTATTTCCCTTCTGGACTTCTCGGCTTGAAGCAATGTTAGCCTTCCTCAGTTGCCTCCAGCCTTACTCTCCTCTCCCCTCAGGAGACCGGGTGACCTGCTCCCAGTGCTTCTGTCTGGCCTGCCTTAAGCTGCTTAAGAAAGCATTCTGCTTCCCCCTTTCCACCCTAAAATGCAAGGGCTTGAGGGAGGGCTGTACCTCCTTTGACATGGGGCTAGCCAGGGCCTACCTTCTCCCTGCTGCAGACCTTTTCTCAGTGCCTGTCCCCCTGACTCCACCTCAGAGAGCTGTGGCACTGTCAAGCAGCTAGTGTGGTCATCTCTTGTGCTATTCCTGTCTGTTTTCCAGTGAGAAATGGTGTCTCCCTTTACTACACCATCTTGTGTTGGGGGCTGGGGAGAGGGATGGGAGAGGAACATATTCAGTATTTATTTGCTGGCCTTAAGGAGCCCAAGGTGTATTTCTCCTCTTGTTTCAAGATAAGGCTTGGTTTTCAGCTGGTGATGAGGGTAATCGTCTGATATTAGGGAAGATTGAATTGCGTTAATCTCTTAGCCATGTGTGGGGAGGCCAGATGGACCTGCTACTTTGTAGCCACAGCCACACTTGACCTCTTTGAGGTTCCTTTTCTCCACCAGCCTGGCTGCAGCGTGGTGAGGAAAAGCATGTGGTTTGAAGTTGCAGCCCTGAGTTCAAGTCCTAGTTTCTTCCCTTACAATGTAACCCTGGCCCTGCTCCCCTTACTGCAGATTCTGCCAAGAGCCTTACCCTCTCTAAGCTTCATTCAGTCCTGTATCGTGGGCATGGTAATAGTACTGAATGCAGAGTTGCTGAGGATTAAATGCACGTTAAGTACATAGTACAGTTCCCAGCACACAGTGATCATATATGTGATAGCCCTTTTTGCAGTTATTTTTATCAAATGGCAATCAGAGAAGCCTTCCAGGACAACTTTATCTAAAATAGCACTCCCTCCTCTGCTTTATTTTTATACAAAATTTTATATAGCATTCCCTTAGTCTGCTTTATCCTTCCTCATAGTATTTATCACCAGCTGACATATATATTCCTGTCAGCCCCACTAAAATGTCAGTTCAGTGGCCGGGTGTGGTAGCTCACGACCGTAATCCCAGCACTTTGGGAGGCCGAGGCAGATGGATCACCTGAGAGGTCAGAAGTTCGAGACCAGCCTGGCCAACATGGTAAAACCCCATCTCTACTAAAAAAAAAATACAAAAAAATTAGCCAGGCATGGTGGCGCACACCTGTAATCCCAGTTACTCGGGAGGCTGAGGCAGGAGAATCACTTGAACCTTGGAGGTGGAGGCTGCAGTGAGCCAAGATTGCACCACTGCACTCCAGCTTGGGCGACAAAGCCAGACTCTGTTTCAAACAACAACAACAACTACAACAAACAGTTCGGTGAAAGCTAAGATTTTGGCTGTTTTGTTCATTTTTGTATCCCCAGTGCCTGTAAGCATGTTTTGCACATAATGGGGGCTCAAACGTTTGTTGCAGAAGTGCCTCTTACAACACGTGCCACTTACAACACAGTGCAGTGCTTGCTTAGAGAAAGTATTCAATAAACCCCAGGCTTCTTAGGCTTCATTTTGCCCCTCTTTTATTTATGCACAATTAAGAATATATTTTTTCTGGGATGTTTTTAGAATCAGACCTTGTCTGGGGTAAACAGTTCTGGAAGCCTCCAGCTGAGCGATGCCCTTGAAGTAAAGTTAGGATCATCCAAGAGAAAATGTGGGCCTCTGTGTCTAAGCTTGGTTATATTCCAGGAGAACCTTCTGACTTGGAACTCTTGGCTTCTCACAAAGGATAAATATCAGTGGAAGTGGATGGGACAAGGAGGGGGCAGGCCCCGGCCTGACCTCTTTCCTTTTGCATTGCTCCTTTTGGTTGACCCACTTCGTAAATCAAACAGCTTCTTTTTACCATCCAGCTCGAAGTTTGACTGCAGTGTCCTTGAAACTGTGGAGCTATGCTTAGCGTCGCTGGATTGAAATCATAGCATGGAGCACATTCAAGGAGGACTTGTTGCTCGGTGGTAGCTGCTGACAGAGATGTTCTTTTTCAAATGATTTTGTGTTGTTGTGTCTGTTCTTTGGATAAGTGTCTTCGCCTTCCTCCTCTCTTCATGCGGCTGTGGAGCCAGCACCACTCGGAAAGCTGGCAGTTCTGGGCATGTATTTCTAGGCTGCTGAGCAACGTGGGACTGCCTCTGTGTTCTGATGTGCTAGCTGTCCAAATGTTGATGACAGATGCCTTAGGCAGGAGAATGGGAAGAGTGACCTCCTGCTGCAGAAGTAAGGACATTCAATAGTGACTTTTTTCCCCTGGAAAATTGCAAAAGGGGAATGGGGCTGTTTGGAGAGCTCGAGGCATTTAGATGAAGTGAAATGCTGCCTTGGCAAAATGACGGAAGGAAGATTACTGAGAACTTGGCTGAAACTAGGTGATCAGTCATTCCCCAAACAGAGGGAGAGACATCCCCACCCTTTATGCTATGGGATAGGACAGTTTGCCATAGTCCTTAGGGATATACACAGCAGGGAGGTTTTGACAGTTAAGATAACAGTAAGGTCAGCAAGAGAGCCAGCTGGCCCACCCCCTCACTCTTGCCCCAGGAGCTCAATTAAAACTCTGCTGGGTAGAATCCTGACTTCACATCTGGCCTCCATTCCTTTCCGCATTGAACTGTGTGCCTAAGACAGGGTAGCACACACAACTTGCACATGTAAACCATCTTTGTTTGTCATTTAGGGGACATGATGGCAGGAAGTGTGCAGCCGCTCTTGATAAGCTTGTATTCTGGTGTAGGTCTGTAGATAAGGCATGCAGTAACCTCTCAACCCAGAAACATAAAGCAATTCTGGACTGGAGAACATCTCCAGAAGCCGGTGAGAGTCTGCCTGTCTAATATTTCTGTCTCCAGACAAAGTTGAATCAGAGAAAGTTATCAATAATCCCCTGTCCTCCACCAGTCAGTCGCCAAGCATTGGCAGTCTATGTATTGAGAATCAGGTTCCAGATTCTATGGAAAGGATGTAATATAGTACTCAGTCCTCTACTAAGCTATTTAACCAGATCTCTGGGGACATCCACCCAAGCAAAGCAATGCCTTTCCAAGCCTAGACTCTTTTTTTTTTTTTTGAGACGCAGTCTCGCACTGTCGCCCAGGCTGGAGTGCAGTGGCGCGATCTTGGCTCACTGCAAGCTCCACCTCCCAGGTTCACGCCATTCTCCTGCTTCAGCCTCCCGAGTAGCTGGGACTATAGGCGCCCGCCACAATGCCTGGCTAATTTTTTGTATTTTTAGTAGAGACGGGGTTTCACCGTGTTAGCCAGGATGGTCTTGATCTCCTGACCTTGTAATCTGCCCGCCTCAGCCTCCCAAAGTGCTGGGATTACAGGCGCGAGCCACCGTGCCCGGCCTAGACTCTTTTTCTTAACTGTTACTGTTTTCCTCAATATCCTGCAACCTTCAAGGTTGGGACATTTTTGTTAAACCTGATTTCCATGAATTACACTCATTTTCTGTGGTCAGTGGGCAGTCATCTTGAAACCTGGTCTTCAGCCCCACTCCCTTCGACACCTACTTTTTACTACTATCTGTCTCAGTCTTCTCTTTCCTGGATTGAAGACAGAACAAAAGTGATCAGGTTAATAAGTCAACTCTCAAAGCATTTCTTGAATTCACACAGAGTATAGTAAGATACAAAAACGTGACTTGGTAGAAGACTTGGATCCTGTCCACAGCTCACGGCCATTTGCTCTCTCCAGTTCTTTTGCCATTCTCCTCCGAACCAACCAGTCCTTGACTTGAGACTGGGCTTCTCTTATCTATAGGAAGCTCTTCTAGGGGGTAATGGAAAAAGGGTTTTGAGGCTCTTTGTTCTTACTAAGGGCGGGAATAGTAAAGGGAGGAGAGAAAAGAGGGATGGAATTGTAGTGACCCAAGAGAGCCCCTGGAGATTTTGTCCAGTGGCTAGACAGCCTGAGGTTGTACGTGCTACGTGTGGGTAGGATTTTGTGTTCTGTTTGAGGAAAGATCTAGAACTAGGCACAGAGGACACAGTGGTGATACAGTCTAGTAGTAGGGAGAGACATTAATCAAGTAATTATTTATTAATGTGTGTGTGTGTGTGTGTGTGTGTGTGTGTGTGTGTGTGTGTGTGATTGCAAGCCATGATAAGGACTGTAGTGAAAACTTTAACATGCCGTGGGCACATATAACAAGAGTTGTTTTGAGCATATGTTCTCAGGATCTCCTGAGGGCTGTGTCATGGAAAAAAAATTGCTTTTACGAGACAAAACTTTTATAAGACAAAAATATCTAGTTGATTGAGAGAGACGTAAATCATGTCAGAAAGCTAAACTGGCATTGCTGCAGAAAGATGAGATAGAGTTGAACCAGCAGGTAGAGTTTGGTGATGGTGAGAATTGGGAGACTCTGGAATGGGGCCATTCTTATGGTGAAGCATTTGGTCAACAATTGAGGGCAAGAAGCCTGAGGATGGGGTGGAAACTCCAGGCTTAATTCCAAAAGGATTTCTTCTGAATCTTCCTGTGGGAGGGGAAAAAAAATGGTTTATTTGTTTGTCTCAAAAGTTAAGAGCATGTATATGGAAAGAGCTTATGACTCATATAATCCTCATTTTTACTTACTGGGGGAGGGACTCTGGGTCCTGGGTCTGTAGTTTAGATGTGGCTCCTCAGAATGGGGTATATGAGAGAGGAGGGTGTATCCCTAGATGTTATTAGCCTAAGGGGTGCCTGGAGTTTGGAAGGTAGGTGAGTCTCACGGAAATAAGAACAAGTAGGCCCAGCCCTCAGCTTAGCTGCATGGTCTGTGGGAAGTGGGATTCTTTCTAACATTGGATAGATAGTGTATATAAATAGACAAGACTCTCCATTTACATTGTATACAAGTAAAGGATGAGTGGGGTGTGGAGGGGGAGTGTTACTGATTTTGCGTGTTTGAAAGGAAACAGGGTTGGGGAAGCCACAAGTCTTGGGCTTCCTGAAGGAGCCAGGCTCTGGGACCAGCTTGAATGTCGGGAGGATGGCAGCGTAGAAGACGGTGAGGTGGGCTGTGAGGAGAGTTTGGTGGCACAGCCTGTGGGAGGAGCCTGGGTGGCTGGAGAGAGATGAATGGAGGAAATGGGGACGAGCTGCCTAAGAAACGTGGTGATAGTTGGCGAGGGAGGAGACAGGAAGACCTTTGACAGAGGAGATAGCTGAGACCTCAGGTTCATCCACAGCAGGTAAATTCCAGGGCCACACGGGACAGGCGACGTGGGGAGTGTCTGTGGTCACAACTGGGGGCCCCAGCACTTAGAGCCTGTGACTCAGTATGTACACGTAGCACCAAATGCTTTTTGGTTCTGTCTTGGGCATCTCCGCACGGGCACTTCCGCCAGTGGTTTCTTCCATTGCCTTTGGGATGAGCAGGCCTCCTGAAAGCAGGCCTGATATTCTCTGGTCTTCTGACAAAGAATGGGAAATTTCTCACACCGTCTTGTTCCAGGAACCACCTGGGGATGGGATTTGAAGGGCTTGGGTTGCCGAATTGCTCCTAGAACCACAGGCTTAGAGGAGTTTTCTATGAACAGCGGTCCTGGCAGGGACAGACTGAGGATCGGTAGGGCTGAATGAAGACAATCCCACCTCCTTCAAGAGCCACCTCAACTTATGTTTTTTTCCCACAAAGCCCCCCCTCCGATTTTGCCAGCCTTTACTGATCACATCATCCACTTTCTCACAGACCTTACAATTTAGCATTGGCTTATATATTGCCTTATATTGAATAATGTTTTATGGTCTTGTTTTTCCTACCACTTCCTTATGTGTAGAGACTGTGATCCATATTTCCTCTTGATCCCTGTAAAGATGCTGAGCACACAGTAGGGGTTCAGAAATTACTTGGTAAGAGACATGGATCTAAGTATGTCTGTGACTGGACCTTTCCTACTAGATTCAATCCACAATTAGTACAGGGTGCCCAGTATATGCTGGGCACGGTGGGATACAAAGCAGTACAGGTGCTGACTCTGGTTCTCAGCCAGGGCACCGCTGGCCTCCAGGGGGTGTTCGGAAATGCTGAGGAGGGAGGATTAACTGTCTTGGGAGCACCGGGCACGGTGGCTCACGCCTGTAATCCCAGCACTTTGGGAGGCCGAGGCGGGCGGATCACGAGGTCAGGAGATCGAGACCATCCTGGCTAACACGGTGAAACCCCGTCTCTACTAAAAATACAAAAAAAAATTAGCCGGGCGCGGTGGTGGGCGCCTGTAGTCCCAGCTACTTGGGAGGCTGAGGCAGGAGAATGGCATGAACCCGGGAGGCGGAGCTTGTAGTGAGCCTAGACCACGCCACTGCACTCCAGCCTGGGCGACAGAGCGAGACTCTGTCCAAAAAAAAAAAAAAACTGCCTTGGGAGCACTAACGGCATTTAGCACATGGGGATTGGGGATGTTAACCATCTGGCAGAGTCTGGGACAGTGCATCGAAGAACTGTTTTTCCACCCGTATTGCCACTGGTACCTCTCATGAACTTGTTATGGACATGGGAGAGACCCGGGGAGGGACTGGACAGGTTTCTTCCATGAAGTAGGAAGTAGTTCCTAAGTCCCCTGTGTACTTCTTTCCAGGTAGAGAGAGGAATGTGGGCTCTAAATTACCCTTGTGCATGGCACATATCTAGCAGCTTTTGTCTGCTAGCATACCTCTGGAGGTAAAATAGGTAGGCTCCCAGCCAGACTGTAAGGAAGATTTTCATGTTCTCTTTTCACCACCCACCCACTCTTTCTTTCAAGGCACATTTTTAAGAAAGTGGCTGAAGCTTGCAATACTTAGTCTTTAGTTCTAAGTGACTCAGGAAAGAGTCTTCAAGAAAACAGTTGGACAGAGTGCCCCAAAGCCTAAGCAGCGTGAGGCAAAGATAGGCAGGTGCATGTGGCGTCTTAGAGAGGGGCCAGCACATCGTCTCTTCTCTGGGGTCTTTTCATCCTACACTTGTCTTTTTGAAGACAGAGGTGTGGTGAATGAATGTCATTACTTACATCTGGGGGAGTGACCAGAGACAGTAGAAGACACCTTGCCCTAGTGTATCCTTTCAGGGTGGACCAGTGGCTGGGAAGCAGCACAGCTGAGCGGGATGAGCTGGAGCTGTGCAGAGCTGCCTTCCACAGCTCGCTGTTTCCCAGTCCCAGTCAAGAGAGCAGAACTTGGTAGGCTCCTGGCCTTGGGTAGCTAAGGTTTGGAGGAGGTGGAGAGAGTCCGCCTAACCTTAACAAGGTCATTCCTCACAGTGGAAACTACCTGAGCCCCACGTGTCGAAGCAGGGTAGGGGGAACAGGCAGGATGTGGATCAGAAGTTGGTTTGGGCTGGGCGCAGTGGCTCATGCCTGTAATCCCAGCACTTTGGGAGGCTGAGGCAGGCAGATTACTTGAGGTCAGGAGTTCGAGACCAGCCTGGCCAACATAGTGAAACCCTGTCTCTACTAAAAATACAAAAAATTAGCCAGGCATGGTGGGAGGCACCTGTAATCCCAGCTACTGGGGAGGGTGAGGCAGGAGAATCGCTTGAACTCAGGAGGCGGAGGTTGCAGTGAGCCTAGATTGCGTCACTGCACTCCAGCCTGGGCGACAGAACGAGACTCCGTCACAAAAAAAAAAGAAAGAAAAAGAAAAAGAAAAAAAAGGAAGTTGGTTGGTTCTAGTAAGTCCTTTTTCTGTCTGTCTTCTGTTTGGAACAAAGATTGCTGTGATAAAGTCATTTATATTATGATGCAGATTCATTTCAGAAGGGGGTGTTTGGGGTTGGAATAAGAACCGTAATGAACACTTACTGTGCAGTAGGTTCTTTCCTTCTGTAATCTCATTGTCCCTCACAAGAACCCTTTGAGGTGGACAATATTATCCTCATTTGCAAGATGAAGAAACCAAAGCTTACAGAAATTAACTTGGAAGTTAAGTAACTTGCCTGAGGTTGGACAGCCAGTAAGCAGCAGAGCCCACATTCAGACTCAAGTCTGACTCCAAAACCTGGGCTGCCATGCTGTTGGAGGGAGACCTGCTCCCACGTGGCGGTGGGTATTTGGGGGTGGGCACTGAGGGGAGGACAGGAGGGCAGTGTGTAGCTGGCACTCTAGACTACATGCAACTGGTATTGTTTTCTGCCTGTTTTTTGGTTTCTTTTTGCTTTTTTTGAGATGAACTCTTGCTCTGTTGCCCAGGCTGAAGTACAGTGGTGCGATCTAGGCTCACTGCAACCTCCACCTCCCAGGTTCAAGATCCTCCTGTCTCAGCCTCCCGAGTAGCTGGGATTACAGGTGCGCACCACCACACCTGGCTAATTTTTGTATTTTTAGTAGAGACAGGGTTTCACCATGTTGGTCAGGCTGGTCTCGAACTCCTGACCTCAGGTGATCCACCCACCTCGGCCTCCCAAAGTGCTGGGATTACAAATGTGAGCCACCGTGCCCGGCCTGCCTGTTTTAATTGTAAATGTGTGATATTTCTGTGACTTATGGTAAACAGGCTTTGTGGGCTTACTGAGGACTAAAACATTATCCATAACGTTTCTTGGTAAAGTTTTTGGAGACTTTTGGAATATGGCCTGTTTCATGGGCTGGAGACAGTCTGTATGAGAGATAGTTACTGCCCTCCAGGAGCACTTGGCCTCTAGATCTGTGTCTTAATAGAGGACACCTTTTATTCGTATACCTGGGTCTTTTTGAGGTGGGGAGAGTGAGTGACCTCAGCCTGAGCTGAACAGGTGGTGGGTTGGCACTGGGGAGCACATGTTGGGAATACAGAGCTCCACGGGGCTCGTACCCAGAACTAATAGAGATTTCTAAATGTAGGGCCGCTGGGTAGATCACTGTGATGATGAAGAGGACATGCAGAAGACTTCAGAATATTTGGTCTGCAGGAAAGATAGTCGAATAATTCAAAAGAAAGCCTCTTCAGAGGGAGGAGAGGAAGGCTGTCTCATTTCCCCCCACCCTTTAAAAATGTGTTGTTGTTGTTTTTTAATGTGATTAAGTATATGTAAGACTTACCATTATAACCATTTTTCAGCGTACACTTCTGTGGCATTAAGTGCATTCACATTGTTGTGCAACTGTAACCACTATCCATCTCCAGAACTTCTTCATCCTCCCCAAATGAAGCTCTGTACCCATTAAACACTGACTCTCTGAACCCTCCACCTTCCAGCCCCTGGCACCCACCATTCTGCATCTCATTGTCTTTTGTGTGTGCAGAGTTGAGCAGAGGGTCTGACCGAGCAGATGTTTAATATTTGTTGAGTCCGCCTAGGTGCATGTCTCAGAAGTCCATGTATCATCAGCCAACCCAGAACACAACCCCCCTCCCAGCTCTAATGCAAGATGACAGGCTTCTGAAAGGGATTTTAAATGAAATGGCTGTCTGGAATCACAAGAGGATTGGGCAGCAGCAAGAGAAGTTAAGGGTTTCTGTTCCGTATTCAGTTCCTTTTGCCACCCCCCAGCCATGACTTGCGTTCTGGTTCTGCTATGCTCATGTTCGTCATCTTGCTTGTTTTCAGCCTCTTACTTCATCTCATCCTGGGGGTCTGATGGGTAGGTGCTAGAGGAAGTTGGAAATAAGGTCGTTTAGGGGATGAAGATCATAGAATGTAACAGCATTTCTGTATTAGTATGTGAGGGGTACATGTGTTAAAGGGCGGTCAACCCTCCTGGACCTCCAGGCCTCGACAGTTGAGAGCCAGGTCAGGCTCTGTATTCCTCTAGTGTTCATACTCCTGGACAGACCCAAAGCATGACCTGGAATTGAGTTGGATTTTTTTTTTTTTTTGACAGAGAGTCTTGCTCTGTCACCCAGGCTGGAGTGCGGTGGCACAATCTTGGCTCAACTGCAGCCTCCACCCCTGGGTTCAAGCGATTCTCCTGCCTCAGCCTCCCAAGCATAATAGCTGGGACTACAGGCATGCGTCACCACGCCCAGCTAATTTTTGTATTTTTAGTAGAGATGGAGGTTTTACTGTGGTGGCCAGGCTGGTCTCAAACTCCTGACCTCAAGTGATCCACCTGCCTTGGCCTCCCAAAGTGCTGAGATTGCAGGCGTGAGCCACCGCATGTGGCTGAGTTGGATATTTTAGAACACAGATGAATGCAATGGCCTCCCTGGCCTCCTCACTTTCCCTCATCCTTGCTATTTACAGTTTCTCATTGACCTTCATGGGGAAGGAGGAAAAAGGGAGGGAGTGACACACTTATTCTCCAGGTGGCCCAGGAAGAGAGGAGGGCAGGAGAGCCCCCTGTCTTAGAGGTCAAAATACAGGCCTCTAGCTGGTAGGCTGGGGTGGTATCTTAGGGTACACTGTTGTGGGCTGTGCCCTTACATTACCAGGCAGAAGCCTGCAGTGCAAAAGACCTCTGCGTTTCCTCACAATAGTGTCAGATTGGAAGGATCAAGGGAAGACTCAAGGACTCATGAGGTCTTTTTTCTCTGTCTCCTTGTACAACCTTAGAGGAAGCTGCATGTATTTGATGACACCTTCCAGGAACTGCCCAATACCGAATGGCCCTTCTCACCACAATTCCTCTTACTGCAGTCTAAAGCGTACTTTTTTCTTAGGCTGAGCCAGGTCTGAATGGCAGTCAGTTGTTTTCCTTGGACTGAGTCTCAGTCTACCCCACCCTAATGTTCAAAGTTTGAATGAAGGAATGTTCCAATTGATGACTCCTAGAGACACTAACATCCTTAGGTGTTATCCTACAGTCTGCCTGGATGTTGTTCCCATCACCATCGCCAATACAAGTAATAAGTGATTGAAGTGTTTGTGTTTAAAGCAGAGCCTCTATGGGCCATCTTATTATGACTTTTTTTGAGACAGGGTCGTGCTCTGTTGACCAGGCTGGAGTGCAGCGGCATGATCATAACTTGCTGTAGCCTTGAACTCCTGGCCTCAAGTGATCCTCCCACCTCTGCCCCCCAAAGTGCTAGGATGACAAGTGTGAGCCACAGGCTCGGCCCCATCTTACATTTCAGAAGGTGCCAGCAGTCGGCCAAGGCCTCAGAGCTAGTGAGAGCTGACTTCCCATACTCATGCCTCATGACTCTGCCGCATTGCCCAGTCCCCACCAGAAACAGAGATCTCGTGTGAGATTGGTCAGTGTGGAGTCCAAAGTGTAGTCTTTGCAGCTTAGTTGTGTTTCACAAGTTAACAATGAACATACCTGCTACTGCCCGGATCTCCTGTCCTGGCCTCATAACCTCCTCAGGTGGCCCAAATTGCCTATCTCTAAAGAGCTGTCAGTGGGAGGCCTGCTAACACAACGGGCTGTTTGACTTTGCCTTTGAGGCAATGTGATCCATGGAGTGAACATGGCATGAGGAGCCGGGTGACCTGGTTCTAGTTTTGGTTCCAGTTCATTCATTCATTCATTCATTCATTCATTCATTCAGATGGAGTCTCGCTCAGGCTGGAATGCAGTGGCGCAGTCTCAGCTCACTGCATCCTCTGCCTCCTCGGTTCAATCAATTCTCCTGCCTCAGCCTCTAGCGTAGCTGAGATTACAGGCTCCCACCACCACACCTGACTAGGTGAGCTGATGCTGGTTTGAATCCAAGTCTGTCTCCAAAGCCTATGCAGTTGCAGGGAGTGTTTCCCGAGGACTGTAGGATGATAGGATTCCCTAAGATCCCTTCAGGCCCAGGAGTCCTTATTTCTTCCTAAAAATTTTTGAGTGCCTACTATGAGACAGAGCCAGCCCCCTGTCATAGAGGTCAAAATATGCTTTATTTGTTCTCACACTGACTTAAACATATGAATATATTAAATGTGTAATTTACAGTGTTCTATATATAAGGAAAAGTGCATGTATGAGGTGGTGACTGTGTGTTAAGCTGGGAGGAGCTGACAGAAACGGGGGGTGCCAGTGGCCAGGGCGGGTGGTGTCTCAGAGCTGGTCTCGGAAACATCAGTTCCTACTGTGTAGAGAGATCTCAGGTTGGGCGCAGTGTTGGAGTGTGGGTATGGAGCCCAGCATCCATGGGAAGGACACAAAAAATAAAGGGAAGTTTCAGAAAAAGGTCTGGGCCCAGTACAGTGGCTCATGCTTGTACTCCCAGCACTTTGGGAGGCAGAGGTGGGTGGAGTGCTTGAGCTCAGTAGCTTGAGACCAGCCTGGGCAACATAGAGACCTCATCTCTGTTTAAAAGAGGAGAGATGGGGGAGAGAGAGGAAGAAGGAGGGAGGGAGGACGGGAGGGACTCTGAAGGACTATTTGATTTGAAATATGACCTTCAGAATATGTACACTCCAGAGACGGTTTCCTGAGTCTGCTAGTGCTGAGGAGGAAGAGCAGTCAGAACCAAATGGGGATTGACTTGTGAAGACAGGGAATTGTTCCTTAGGGACAGAGAGGAACCTGGAATGGGGGACCTTCCCCATCGCTCCCTGCAACTGCACAGACCTTGGAGACAGACTTGATTCAAACCCCAGTTCTGTCACTTACTACGTGTTCTTTGGCAAGTAACTCATACCCCTATGCCTCAGTGTTTGGGGGTATTTTTTGAGACGGAGTCTCACTCTATCGCCCAGGCTGGAGTGCAGTGGCGTGATCTCGGCTCACTGCAAACTCCGCCTGCCAGGTTCATGCCATTCTCCTGCCTCAGCCTCCCAAGTAGCTGGGACTACAGGCACCTGCCACCACACCTGGCTAATTTTTTGTATTTTTAGTAGAGACGGGGTTTCACCGTGTTAGCCAGGATGGTCTCCATCTCCTGACCTCGTGATCCGCCTGCCTCGGCCTCCCAAAGTGCTGGGATTACAGGCGTGAGCCACCGCGCCTGGCCTCGTTTTTGTATTTTTTAGTAGAGATGGGGTTTTGCCATGTTGGCTAGGCTTGTCTTGAGCTCCTGACCTCAGGTGATCCGTCTGCCTCAGCCTCCCAAAGTGCTGGGATTACAGGCCTAAGCCACCGCGAACCTGGCCCCTGTGCCTCAGTTTTGTCCTTTGTAAAATGAAGGTAACAAGACTCACCTAATAGGGATGTTGAGAGGATTAAATAAAAGGGATGTAAAGTGCTTAGTCTGGTAAATGCTCATTAGACAGGTGGTAGCTGCCCAACATCTCTTATTGCACAAAGTTCCCAGAAAGCGTGTCTCCTGGGGTTCTTTAACATTCCTCTCCCCCTGACTTAGTATTTTGTTTAAGAAAGAGAAAACCACCCAGTCTATTGATTTTAAGGTAAATGGCTGAGAGTGAGTCAGTGAGCCCCAGGTGTAGACCTGGAATTCTGTGGGCTTGGCTTCCCTTTCCCAGTCCTAGAGCCTCCTACCATCTCCTGAAAGTCTTCCAGCGTCACTGCAAGGAAGAGTAACTTCAAAATCTTCTATCTGAACACGAAACTCCTGTTTGTCCTGACTCAGGAATTCCGGCAATCACTGGGCAGTCACTCTGGCCCTGCGTGCTGTTTTCTGTAAAAGCTCTGGACCCACCCAGAGAAAGCATTCAGCCTGAGGGGAAAACCTATGCCTCACCCTTGGGGACACACAGCTTTGTTGGGATGTGAGAGACAAGACATTGGCACAGAAATGTATAAAGAGCTTTATTGAAAGGCACAGATTGAAGGCTGGGCGGCTCAGGATGCTGGGCTCCTTACTCTGCCTTGCCTGGAGATTTGAGATTCCTGCCTTGAGCCTTTGTGTGCTCCCCACCCCTGCTCCTCCCTTGGCTAACTCTTGCCTGTCCCTGTGGTCTCAGCGTGTTTTGTTTGTTTGTTTGAGATGGAGTTTTGCTCTTGTTGCCCAGGCTGGAGTGCAATGGTGCGATCTTGGCTCATCGCAACCTCCATCTCCTGGTTTAAGCGATTCTCCTGCCTCAGCCTCCCGAGTAGCTGGGATTACAGGCACCCGCCACCATGCCCGGCTAATTTTTTGTATGTTTAGTAGAGGTGGGGTTTCTCCATGTTGGTCAGGCTAGTCTCGAACTCCCGGCCTCAGGTGGTCCGCCCGCCTCGGCCTCCCAAAGCGCTGGGATTACAGGTGTGAGCCACCGCGCCCGGCTGGTCTCAGCTTAAACATCACTTCCTTAGCGAGCCTTTCCTGGCTCCCTTCCCATCTTGACCTCCCTTTAATCTTTCTTTTCTTCTTTTTTTTGAGACACTGTCTCCCTCTGTCATCCAGGCTGTAGTGCAGTGGCGCAAGCGTGGCTCACTGCAGCCTCCTTGAATCGTTCTGATAGCACTCTGTATTTTTTCATCAGAGTCTTTCACAGGTGTTGTGTAATTATGTCTTTAATGTCTGCTTCCTTGATTAGACTGTAAGCTCCATGAAGGAAGAAGGGACCATTTCTGTTTTGTTCAACGCCACGTTGTAGTATCTAGCAATGCCTCTACATAGCTGACACTCAGTGTTTGTTGAATGAATGCATGAGCTGGCTCACCAGGCCATAGATTTGGCATGAAAGGTGTCTGGGAAGGTTTCTTAGGATAAACAGGAGAGACAGGCCTGGTGAAAAGTTGAGTGAACATGTTTGCTCCATCCTGCTGGTCAGGAAGTTCCCCTTCTGTCTCACCTGCGTCTCTTCAGCTGTAATTTATCCTGGGTTGGTCCTTGGTGGGGCCAGAGAATATCTGGTCTCCACCCTTTGGAGAGTAACCCTGTTCTTTCTCAGAGTGTGATTCAGACAGTCCTTCCTCCCCTTCCTGCTGGCCCCCCCCGCCCTCTACCTGTTCTTCCTACAGCTGACTCAGCTTCACACCCTCTCCCTCTCCTTCCAGGATCTCTTTTCCTGTCCCCTTGTCCTTCAGAGCTTTCCTTCCTAAGTTTTCTCTCATGGCCTGTCATTGGTCTTCTGGAATTCGAAATCATATGGGTACAGGTCACAAGTTTTCTTGGTCATGAAGCTTCTCTAGTCTCTTCCTTGGGTTTGTGGACACCTGACTCCCACAGAAGGAGGCTGGCAATAAGATATAATGATCTGTTTGTGCTGCAATTGAAAACCAGCAGCAAGAAGCCTTATTATTATCCAACCCCTCATTACTAGTGTTGTCCTCCTCCGTTAGCTTGGTATCTGCCAGCCTGAACGGGCCTGGCATCTCCTTTCTGCCCCCTCCCACTGCCATGCTGTGCCCTTCCTTGCTCTCTCTGGTGTCTGCTTCCCAGGGACTGGCCCTCCTCCCTGCCCCTGTCAGCCTGCCTCCGAGGCCACAGATCTGGTTTTCCTCCCTTCTGTCTCACCTGCCTTCCTCTCAATTCTACTTTTTATCTTGTTTCTTCTCTCCTGAACTGCCACACTTCACCCTAAATCCCAGTAACGCCAACAGTTTTGGTAAATCACTTTTTGCCACAGTTTTGCCTTGCTTTGTGGGAGCCAGTTTCTTCATAATGACTCTATGCAAATTTGTAGCATTTTATGGATTTTAAAATGTTTCCACATCGGTGAATTCTTGTGAAATGGGCCTGGGTAGATAAGGAAAAGAACCTCCAAGAGGTTAAGTGATTTGCGGATTTGCCTAAATTATACAGAAGAGTCAGAACCAGTGCCCAGGCCTTCTGATTCTTAGTGCAGTAAACACTAAGCACCATCATTCCATTTCACCACACTCCTGTCTTGCTGTTGTCCTCAGCTAAGAAAGCCTACCCCTGAGTTACCCTCTTCCATCTTAGAGCCTTCCTGCTCGCTGTCTGCCCCCCTGCGATGGGGACTTCTTTGGCCCTTCTCACCCAGCCCAGCCTCTGCCCGTTTCCTTCTCCTTTCCACTGCGCTGAGCTCTTTTCTCCTCCGAGAAGCCTTCCCTTCATCTCTCCTGGCCCCATTGTCTCCCGACCTCTTTGGGCCATTATTAGTGTTCCCGTGTGGTTTTTGCCAACCACGTAGGAATTCCCTGCCTTAAGAAAGTCCACTCTCGGGCCGTGCGTGGTGGCTCACGCCTGTAATCCCAGCACTTTAGGAGGCCAAGGTGGGTGGATCACCTGAGGTCAGGAGTTCAAGACCAGCCTGACCAACAAGGTAAACCCTGTCTCTACTAAAAATACAAAAATTAGCCGGGTGTGGTGGCTTGTGCCTGTAATCCCAACTACTTGGGAGGCTGGGACAGGAGAATCACTTGAATCGGGGAGGCAGAGGATGCGGTGAGCTGAGATCACCCCACTGCACTCCAGCCTGGGCAACAGAGTGAGACTCTGTCTCAAAAAAAAAAAAAAAAAAAAAAAAAAAACTAAGAAAGTCCACTCTCTGGTAAAACATTTACCAAGCATATAAATTATGAGGTGCTGATTCATATGACAAAAAGGAGATTCACTTTTAGTAGCTGCTCTAATGCATTCCACTTAAGTGAATATTCAAGGATTATTTTGGAAGGATGGAGATAATCCAAAACTAGTGTGAGAAACTGCTGCATTAAGG
Organism: Homo sapiens; assembly: GCF_000001405.40. NCBI lineage: Eukaryota > Metazoa > Chordata > Mammalia > Primates > Hominidae > Homo > Homo sapiens. Next base: position 4,852,216 of record NC_000017.11, read on the forward strand.
AAGGAGGGAGGTTTTTCTAGATAACTGCTGCATTAAGGAAGGAGGGAGGTTTTTCTTTTATTTCTGTATTCATTCATTCCACAGACAGGTATTGAGGGCAGCCCTGACCTCCAAGAACTTAGTCTAGCAGAGGAGACAGATAAGAGAATCAATCACAAAAATGTAATTGGTGTCACGAAAGAGTCAGTACAGGGTATTGTGGGAGGAGAGGATTGTGAGGGGCACTTCCTGGAGGTGACATTGTCTCAGTGGAGGTCGGGAGGCACAGGCACGAGGCATCCAGGTAAAGAGGAGGAGAGTGATGAACAGCATGTGGAGACCCAGGAGTGAGAAGGAACAGAGAGAAAGCCACTAGTTAGTGCAGTGTTCCTGCCCCTCTGCCTCATCCCCACACCAGCAAGAACCAAAAGGCACCAGCATGAGAATTGGCAAGGCTCCAGGTAAACCATAGCTGGGATATTCAGCTGTACAGCAGTCATATGTGAGCCTGAGGAAGAACCTGTTTGGCCCACAGAGGGAGACAGAATCTACTGGGTGGGGGGGGTGTGATTTGTGGGGGAGTGTGGTTGATGGGTGGAGTGTGTTTGGTGGGGGAGTGTGGTTTGTGGGGGAGTGTGGTTGGTGGGGGAGTGTGGTTGGTGGGGGAGTGTGGTTGGTGGGGGAGTGTGATTTGTGGGGGAGTGTGGTTGGTGGGGGAGTGTGGTTGTTGGGGGGAGTGTGGTTGAGGGGGAGTGTGGTTGGTGGGGAGTGTGGTTGGTGGAGGAGTGTGATTGATGGGGGAGTGTGGTTGGTGGGGGGAGTGTGGTTGGTGGGGAGAGTGTGGTTGAGGGGGAGTGTGGTTGGTGGGGGGAGTGTGGTTGATGGGGGGAGTGTGGTTGGTGGGGGAAGTGTGGTTGGGGGAGTGTGGTGGGGGGAGTGTGGTTGGTGGGGGAGTGTGGTTGGTGGGGGAGTGTGGTTGAGGGGGAGTGTGGTTGGTGGGGGGAGTGTGGTTGGTGGGGGGAGTGTGGTTGGTGAGGGAGTGTGGTTGGTGGGAAGAGTGTGGTTGGTGGGGGGAATGTGGTTGGTAGGTAGAGTGGTTGGTGGGGGAGTGTGGTTGGTGGGAAGAGTGTGGTTGGTGGGGGAGTGTGGTTGGTGGGAAGAGTGTGGTTGGGGGGAGTGTGGTTGGTGGGAAGAGTGTGGTTGGGGGAGTGTGGTTGGTGGAGTGTGGTTGAGGGGGAGTGTGGTTGGTGGGGGGAGTGTGGTTGGTGGGAAGAGTGTGGTTGGTGGGGGAGTGTGGTTGTTGCTGTGTGCCATCGGAAGGCTATGCAAGTTTGAGCGCTTGCTTCACCTTGACAAACATTTCACTTGTTAGAGCCCTGGCTTTCTCATCTGTGCTCTGAGCTAGTCATTCCTGCCAAGCTTCCCTGCAGGTTTAAGTGCAGATGCAGTCATGACTGTGAAAGCACCCTGTGAACTGTAAAGTCTGGGCAGTTGGGTGGTGGTAGGAGAGGCAGCAACTGTGAGAGGATGAACTTGATTCTGCTGATCTCGGACGGAAACTGATTCTTGGGAGAGAGACAGAATCAAACGGCTCTGACATTTGAAAAGCCATGGCCTCGCTTACCTACAGTGAGACTTGAGAAGAAGTGCTGGGGAGGTAAAGGCTGAGATACCACCTCCGCTGCCTGAAAGACTTTGCAAGATACTCCAGCTGGGGATAGGAGATGGCTAGAATGACCTCCAACTATCTTCACACCCGAGGCTGGGGCTGCCCTTCCAGGCCTGCAGTTCTGTATTTTCCCTTAGAAGGTTCTGGAGGCAGACGGAACCTCAGAAGCAAACGGTTTATTTTTTAGGTTTTTCAGTTTATTTTTAAATTTCTGACTGTGATGGTGTTTATTTTTTCCTTTTCCCTTTCCCCACTTCCCCGGCTCAGCATCAGAAAGGGACCATCTGTCCGTTGCCTTGCTGTGGCCATTTTAGAACCAGCGCAAGGCTGCTTGAATCTGGTCCCCTCTTCTCCCTCACTCCCTCCCCCACCACCTGGCTTTCTCTACTCTGCACTGCCTGCTTTCATCCAGCTCCCTCCAGGTGTCAGCTGCCACCTCTTATAGGCCTCCATCTGTGAAGACCTCCAGGCTGAGTCCAGCCACCAGACCAGGGCCCCTGTCTGAGGCAGCCAGATCTGTGGGGAACCTAGACATGGAGGCAGCAAAATTACCCTTTGAGAGGAGGAGGGGAATAAATTCCAGTCTCCTTGCTCCAGGCAGGGCCCCTCTGCTCTGACTGGTTTCTGATGAGAATGGTATGTGTATTCATGTATGTGTCATGTCCTGACTTGTTTCTGCCTCTGCATGTACCTGCAAGTCAGTGTGTGTGTGCATGCGTGTGTCTCACACATCCCTCTGGCATAGAGATCCATGAGTGATTTATAAACTGCCTTTCCTCCCATCACATAAATATTTTTCCTGGTTTCTTCGCCTTCCTTCTACTTCTAGAACTGGCCTGATTTCCTCCCCTCCAGTGCTTCATTCCCATAAAAACACTTCAAAACACAGGTAGCCATCGATAGACAGAGGACAAGTACTTCACGTTGTGGATTCAGAATAAAAAGATCCGGTTGAGTTCCACAGTGTGAGAGGCAGGGTTAGCAGAGTGGAGAGTCTGTTTCAGAGAGTAAGAAGCGCTGAGAAAAGGAGTTTTTTTGAAGGCTTCATTAAAAAGAGTCCAGGCTGGGCGCGGTGGCTCCCGCCTATAGTCCCAGCACTTTGGGAGGCCCAGGTGGGCAGATCACTTGAGGTCAGCAATTCGAGACCAGCCTGGCCAACATGGTGAAACCCCATCTCTACTAAAAATACAAAAGATTAGCCGGGCGTGGTGGTGGGCGCCTATAGTCCCAGCTATTACTATACTTAGGAAGCTGAGGCAGGAGAATTGCTTGAACCTAGAAGGGGAGGTTGCAGTGAGCTGAGATTGTGCCACCACACTCCTGTCTTAAAAAAAAAAAAAAGGCCAGGCATGGTGGCTCACACCTGTAATCCCAGCACTTTGGGAGGCTGAGGCAGGTGGATCACGAGGTCAGGAGATCAAGACCATCCTGGCTAACAAGGTGAAACCCCGTCTCTACTAAAAATACAAAAAATTAGCTGGGCGTGGTGGCGGGCGCCTGTAGTCCCAGCTACTCAGGAGGCTGAGGCAGGAGAATGGCGTGAACCTCGGAGGTGGAGCTTGCAGTGAGCTGAGATTGTGGCATTGCACTCCAGCCTGGGCGACAGAGCGAGACTCCATCTCAAAAAAAAAAAAAAAGGCCGGGCACAGTGGCTCATGCCTGTAATCCCAGCACTTTGGGAGGCCGAGGCGGGCGGATCATGAGGTCAGAAGGTTGAGACAGCAGTGAAACCCCATATCTACTAAACATACAAAAAATTAGCCGAGTGTGGTGGCAGGTGCCTGTAGTCCCAGCTACTCGGGAGGCTGAGGCAGGAGAATGGCGTGAACCTGGGAGGCGGAGGTTGCAGTGAGCCGAGATCGCGCCACTGCACTCCAGCCTGGGCGACAGAGCAAGACTCCGTCTCAAAAAAAAAAAAAAAAAAGAAAGAAACCCCATCTCTACTAAAAATACAAAAAAAATCAGCTGGATGTGGTAGCAGGCACCTGTAATCCCAGCTACTCAGGAGGCTGAGGCGGGAGAATCACTTGAACCTGGGAGATGGAAGTTGCAGTGAGCTGAGATCATGCCACTGCACTCCAGCCTGGGTGACAAAAGCGAGACTCTATCTCAAAAAAAAAAAAAAAGTCCAGTTGATGGTGGTATATCATGGACAGTAGGAAATTGATGAGGGTATCAGCCTGCCTTCTCTCTTCCTTTCATTTGCTCAGTGGAGAGATGCTGGTGACCCCTTCTCCTTCTCTCGCCATAGGAACATTTAATCTGTCTCATGCTTTGGCTTTGGGCCTGCCATTCACCCCAAGCACCTTGGGGTATAAGTGGGGATGATGCTGTCTACCTGCTTCCTAGTTGGCTCTGGGGTAAATGGAGACTTCTTCAGGCCTGGGAGGCCACCTCCCATTGAGAAAGGCAAGCATCTCGCGCTCTACTTACCCTCTGGGTCCTTGAGGGGCTGTGTCCAGTATCTCTGCTTGGGTAGGAAGGAGGTGATCTTATCAGACTTTTCCTGCCACTTCCCTGTCTCCAGCTCACACACCCACTCCCGTTTTCTCTCTCTTACGTACTCACACTCTCTTTTTTTTTTCTTTCCCTCCCCCGACATCTGAGAACTTTATCAGACACAGCTGCCGCACAGGGCCTGGCAGCGCGGGCTGGAGAGGGTGGTTCCATCCAAGGAGCCTCCGCAATGGGAACCTCCATGACGTGACAGATAGGTGGGAGATGAGGGCTGCTCCACAGGGGTATGGACAGGCCAAATCTTTATAAATATCTAATGAAGAGAAAATGACAACTCTAATTCATCCTTATACATAGAGTACTCAAGGGAGATGGGTGGGGCATCCAGGGGCCTGAGTCCTCACTGGTCGGGGACCTGGATGGGTGATGAGTAGGTTCAGATGTCCACAGCATGGGGCGGGAGGGGGCAAGGCCTGGCCAACAGACGATGAACACGAGGACACTGTACACTTAGAAGATCAACTACTGAGGGCCAGCTGCCCAGCACATGCGTGTCAGGCTGTTTGTTCCGGAATGAGGAGGGGTGGTCTTTACATCGTATTCTGTGACTGGTGGGTTTTGAGAGGGGCTGCTTTGTGGAGAGAATGAGCACCTTGGCAAAGATGAGGATCAGTATCATGCCTACAAATAGTCGGGGCTGCTGGGCAGTGCCACACTTGCCAGTGTCCCCCACGATGACGATGGCAAAGCCGGCTGCCAGGCCACTCAGGCCAGCGCCCAGCTGGAGGAAACTGCTATAGAGACTGTTGTCATCATTCAGGGAGTTGGCAGGGGGGACAGCCGCCACTAGGCCATAGATGGTGATGATACCAGCCATGACCACTGGGATGATGGACTTCATGTGGATCAGCTCTGGCCACATGACAGACATGGCCATGATGCCGGTGCCATTCTTGGCCATGCCACAGGCAGCACCCAGGCCACTGGAGACCATGGTGGCCATAGCACCCGAGATGGTGAAAACCAAAGCATACTCGGGGCTGTTGTTGGACATGTCTGTGAGTGGGGAGGGGGACAAGGATGGGCATGGCAGAGAGTGAGTGCAAAGACAGTGGACTAGTGGCAGCAAAGATGCTGGTTTTTTTTTTTTTTTTTTTTTTTTTTGAGATGGAGTGTCACTCTGTAGCCCAAGCTGGAATGCAATGGTGCGATCTCAGCTCACTTCAACCTCTGCCTCCAGGGCTCAAGCCATTCTCATGCCTCAGCCTCCCGAGTAGCTGGAACTATAGGCACGCACCACCATGCCCAGCTAATTTTTTGTATTTTTAGTAGAGATGGGGTTTCACCATGTTGCCCCGTATGGTCTCAAACTCCTGAGCTCAGGCAATCCGCCAGCCTTGGCATCCCAAAGTGCTGCGATTATAGGGGTGAGCCACCGCGCCCAGCCAAGATGCTCTTTCTTACCACACACACACCCTCCTATTTCTTTTCTTATGCACACACACAGACACACACACAGCCTTTAGCTACTCCTAATTGAAGGGTGCCTAAGACACCACCCTTCTGTCAGAATACTTGCCCCTACTTCCAAATCTCTGCCAGTACTGTATCCTTGTGGAACTTAACTTAAATTGTTGGGGAGACCCCATCTGTCCTTTGTCTCTCAGGCCCTTATCCCTTCCCCTGTGGTGGCTTCAGAATATCTCCTACAGATGGGGTTTAGGGTTAGTAATCTGGTGGTACTGGGGCTAAGGGATAGGTTTTAAAGCTCCATTTGCATAGCAGTCACTATTTTAACACTTAGATTGTTGGTGTTTTGGGGTGTCTTTAAGGGAGCTGATGAATTTATGGGAGGCTAAATATCCCCTCCCCCACTGGGTATAGCCACTGCCTTTGCCCCCCTCTTCCTCTCTGTGTGGGCCTTCTGGATTACAGGAAGAGCTCAGGAAAACAGGCCTATTGTTTTCATCTGGGAGGGGGGAGGGCCTCCCAGGCCAGCTCAGGCTCACTGTCCTTTGAACTGGTACCCGATAAACAGAGGCTCCAAGACGCTGGCAGCCTTGTTCTTCCAAGGCAAGGGAGTTATTTGGCTTGAGACTTTATTCTGTTCTGCCAGCTCTTGTTGGTTCCCTGTTTATTTTTTTTTAATTTAAATTTAATTTTTTTTTTTTTTTGAGACGAGGTCTTGCTCTGTTGCCCAGGCTGGAGTGCAGTGGTGCAGTCTCGGCTCACTGCAACCTCCGCCTCCCAGTCTCAAGTGATTCTCATGCCTTACCCTCCTGAGTAGCTGGGATTACAGGCATGCACTACCATGCCCAGCTAATTTTTGTATTTGTAATAGAGATGGGGTTTCACCATGTTGGCCAGACTTGGTTCCCTCTTTAGACCACAAGTTCCCATTCTCTTTCCCTAGTGTCCTATGAAATTCTCTTCTCCCGCTTCCGCATCTGTTTTTCTCTATCACAGGTTTCTCAGAATCTTTCTGGCTGCTGTATAGTCAGTCCTGGTATGGTTAGTAACAGCAGGAAGCCTGCCTTTTTGGAAGTACAAGGAGCTAGGAAAGGAGGGGTCTCTCCCAGACTAGAGAGGTCTTCTCCCCTAGCCTCACAGCTAGCTGACTCTGCCTTGTCCTCCCAACACCCGGGATTCCCCCCGGCCCCTCCCAACACCAGGCACCCGGGGCAGCCCCACCTCCTGCCCTGTTTCCTGTCAGGGGTAGGATGGCACCTTGCCTGGGTCTGGGAACAGCACTGGCTCTAGCAGCAGGACCTGCCGGGGCATATCTGAGTGAATAATCATTGCTGGGCTCGAAGCACAGGAGAGACCAGTCCTTCCTTGTCTCCACTGGGCTGTTTAGTGCTTCTTTCCCAAGGACTTCCATCCCTTCCCCAGGCTTTATGGTTCCAGTTCTTCTACCATTCTGGAAGCTCCCTAGAATCTCCTGGAATGCTTAATGGACCTTTCCAGCACCGAAATTCAAGAATTATGACTCATCGGTCAGCAGAAAAGTGAGGATACCTTTTCCTAACCTACCTGCTTCCCCTGCAGTTTCCTCACAATCTTACTCTTTATATTTTAGCATATGTAACTTCTCAGGATGTTAATTCTGTTCTCTCTGTGTTGGTGTCTGAGCACCCAGAAGGTAGAGCCAGGGGCACTTATAAACCAGGAGCATTATTTGACAGGCACTTAAGAAAGACACTGGCTACGTAATCCCAGCACTTTGGGAGGCTGAGGCGGATGGATCACATGAGGTCAGGAGTTCGAGACCAGCCTGGCCAACATGGTGAAACCCTGTCTCTACTAAAAATACAAAAATTAGCTGGGTGTGGTTGCACACGCCTGTAATCCCAGCTACCTGGGAGGCTGAGGCAGGAGAATCGCTTGAACTTGGGAGGCGGAGGTTGCAGTGAGCCTAGATTTTGCCATTGCACTCCAGCCTGGGTGACAAGAGCGAAACTCCATCTCAAAAAAAAAAAAAAAAAAAAAAAAAAAGATGCTGGCTAATATTGATAATAACAGTTTGCATTTGCTAAAGTACTTAAAAAAAAAACCTTTACCCCTCAAAGGGTTTCATCTACATGCAAAACCAACACCGTAGGAACTACTTTCCGCATGCGGAGCCGGGTACAGAGGGAAGGGGCGCGTCCGGGAACTACTTGCCGCATGCGGAGCGGGGTACAGAGGGAAGGGGCGCGTCCGGGAACTACTGGCCCCATGCGGAGCGGGGTACAGGGGGAAGGGTCGCGTCCGGGAACTACTTGCCGCATGCGGAGCGGGGTACAGAGGGAAGGGGCATGTCGTTAGAGGAGCTACTGTTAGTGGAATGAGGACGGGTAGCCAGAGTTCTCATCTGCCAGCTCCAGGCCACTTCCAAGAAATGTGACCCCCAAGCCTCTGGTGCTTGCCTCCTTCTGCTCATTCAGTCGTCCACCTCTTTCATTCTGGATTCCACCATGAGTCCAGGCCTCTCCTGCATTTCTAGATTTCCACGTGCTGATTGTGAGGGACTGACGGGGGTTTCACCTTCTCTCCTTTTCCTGGCCCCACAGCCTTGGCTCACGCTTCCTAGGCTCTGAGTTTCAGTTCGTGTCCCAGCCTCCCAACCGGACAGCGTTCTGGAAACAGTTTATGCATGAACTCTTGCATTTTCTCTTGGGAAATAATCAAACCCTTTGTTTCTAATCTCCTCTCAGTCTGTACTACTACTACTACACTAACATGACTTTGGTTTTGGGGAAAGGAAAGGAAAATGTCTGTTGATGCTGGGCCCCAGGCAGCACCGTGAGAGCTGCAACGGGCTCACATTTGCCCCTAGTTTTTCCTCCAGGTAGGAGCTGTGGGAGGAGTCCAGGGAGTCCCTTGAGGCTGAGCAGAGCAAAGAAGCAAGGGCTCAAGGCTGGTGTGTGCCTGGTTCTCCCCTGGTCAGTTCTAGGGAGCAGAGACCGTGGTGCAGGTGGAAGGACCACGGCGCTGTGTCCCTTAACTGTACAGCACCAGTGCGCGCCACGTGCTGGGGAGATGCCGAAGCCTTAGGGAGCAACTTCGGGAAGCTTTTGAAGCTGGGGAAACTAATACACTTGAAATAGTTAAAGGGGGATTTAAGGCAGAGGAGCAGAGTCTGAGGGGACAGCTCGTGCCCTCCCCTTGCCTGCCTCAGGCCACCAGCTTTGTGCCTCTTCTCTCCCTCCAGCCCTTGTTCCTCAGCTTCTTCTGAAAAGCTTTCCTTGAGCAAACCCAGCTCCGCCTTGCTCTGTCTGGCGTTGAATCATTAAATCAGCGACGATTTGGTGACCTCGTATATACTCAGAACATACCTGGAGCTGTGAGGGGAACAGGAGCAAACCACAGGCAGCTCCCTAGTGAGGCGAGTGCAGTGTCACCAGGACGTGCTGCTTGGGGCCAGCCTGGTGTGGCCAGTGCCTTGCATTGTATGCGGAGCTGCGAGAGACGAGACATCTACCAAGAGTTTCTGCGTTAACATCACTGTTGGCTCTTCATAGCTGAGCAAAGCAATATGTACAATTATACATCGTAAACAACGCAGGGCACAGTGCCAGGCGACATCTATTTCGACCCACATGAGGCGCTCTGTCTGTTATTCCAGAGCCCCACCTTTCAATAATTGAGTCCAACACTTGTATGGTATCTTCTTGAGCCTCTCCATCAACCAAAGGTTTTTATTTATTTATTTTTTTGAGTTGGAGTCTCACTCTGTTGCCCAAGGTGGATTGCAGTGGCACGATCTCAGTTTACTGTAACCTCCGCCTCCTGGGTTCAAGCGATTCTCCTGCCCCAGCCTCCCTAGTAGCTGAGATTACAGGCACGTGCCACCACACCCAGATACTTTCTGTATTTTTAGTAGAGACAGAGTTTCACCATGTTGGCCAGGCTGGTCTTGAACTCCTGACCTCAGGTAATCCACTCGCCTCAGCCTCCCAAGGTGCTGGGATTACAGGGTGAGCCACCATGCCCGGCCCAACCAAAGATTTTACACAATTTTATTATATGTAAAATGTGAGGAGATAAGACATGCTTAGTAATAGAAGCTCTAGTGAGTGAGAGAAAGCAGCCGCAGACTGTTACCCCACATGCTCACTATGCGACAATAGTCGTTTTGTGTATGTTATAGATTCAGAGCTGCACAGATAAAGTACTGCTGTTTTCATTCGGGCACCCATCTCAGTGTGAGGCCGCCTAATTCTCATTCCATGTATACCCAAGTACCACCTAGAAATGGCTCCTGCCCTTAATGAGCTTCTGTTCTACTTGTGGAGATGAGGCTTGGTCCTGTGAAAGGTTAAATAGAGATGTTGTGGTCTGGCTTGTTGGGTTGGAAGGAATCTGCTCTAGCTAAGTCAAATAAAGGGAGAGATGCAGCAGAGACTCGAGCCGGCTACATGCATTCAAACCCTGGCTCTGCCACTGAAATAGCTGTTTGACCTTGGCAAGTTATTTACCTTCCCTGAGCCTGTTTCCTCCTCTGTAAAGTGAGAATAATAATAATATCTACCTCATGGAGTTAGGTGAGGATTAAATTAGTTGGTGTGTGGGCCAGGCACGGTGGCTCACGCCTGTAATCCCAGCACTTTGGGAGGCCGAGACGGGTGGATCACCTGAGGTCAGGAGTTCAAGACCAGCCAGGCCAACATGGCGAAACCCCGTCTCTACTAAAAATACAAAAACTAGCCTGGCGTGGTGGCGGGCACCTGTAATCCTAGCTACTGGGAGGCTGAGGCAGGAGAACTGCTTGAATCCAGGAAGTGGAGGTTGCAGTGAGCCAAGATTGCGCCACTGCACTCCAGCCTGGGTGACAGAGTGAGAATCCATCTCAAAAAAAAAAAAAGAAAAATTAGTTGGTGTGTGTAAAACACTTAGCACAGTGCCAGGCTGTCAATATTATTTTTTATTTAAAGTCAAGACCCTTCTTGGAAGGGCGTGTGGCTCATGCCTGTAATTCTAGCACTTTGTGTGTCCGAGGCAGCAGGATTGCTTGAGCCCAGGAGTTCAATACCAGCCTGGGCAACACAGTGAGATCCCATCTCTACAAAAAAGGTTTTAAAAAGTAGCTGGGCATGATGGTGCATGCCCGTGGTTCCAGCTACTCAGGAAGCTGAGGTGGGAGGACTGCTTGAACCCAAGAGGTTGAAGCTGCAGTGGGCTGCAATTGCACCACTGCACTCCAGCCTGGGCAACATTGCAAGACCCTGCCTCACAAAACAAAAACCAAAAAAAATCCTTCTCACTTCACATGCCAAGGGAAAAGAAAAGAGAAAAGAAAAAGAATCTTGTTCGAACCTAGGCACCTGAATGGCAGCCCAGACAGTTCCTTGGAACTGAAACCATAGGGTGGTTCTGGGTTAATGGTAACAGCGGGGGATAGCTAGAGTCAGTTGGTCACTCTCCCGCTTCTGTCTCCCCCTGTAGTTCCCATGCCCTCTCCTTCCATGTCTGCTGTGCTCTCTGTGTACAGTGTGGCCACTCTGCCCACTCATGGCCTCTGCTTTCCTTTACCTGAGATAATAATGGGCTCTCCAGCCTTGACTCTCCATGCACTCTTTGGCATCTTCCCTTTTATTTGAAATGGCTGAAGGGGAAGTTTGCCTTAGGTTACCTTTTTTCCTTCAATCTTGGACTGGCTCCCTGGGGTCAGGAACTCATGTCTTAAACTGTTGCTGGGGCTAGAAAGGGGAGGAAATGGTGGAAAACCCGGTCCTTTAGGCAACAGGAGCTATGAGCCAGGCAAAGCACACTGCAGGCCTTGAGGTCAGATTTTTCAGTCAAATCTTGGCTCTACCACTTCCTAGCCTGGGCAAGTGTTTAATTGTTGTAAACTTTTTCACCTGTGAAATGAGTATAACAATAGTACCCACTTCAAAGTTTGTCATGTGAGATTATACTTCTAAAGTGCTCGGCAGTACCAGGAACAAATGAAATGCTCAAAAATTGCTAGCTGTCTCATTATTATTATTATTATTATTATTTTTGAGACGGAGTCTCACTCTGTCACCCAGGCTGGAGTGCGGTGGCGCAATCTCGGCTCACTGCAACCTTCGCCTCCCGGGTTCAAGAGATTCTCCTGCCTCAGCCTCCCAAGTAGCTGGATTACACGTGTGTGCCACCACGCCCAGCTAATTTTTGTATTTTTAGTAGAGACGGGGTTTCACCATGTTGGTCAGGCTGCTCTCAAACTTCTGACCTCAAATGATCCGCCTGCCTCGGCCTCCCAAAGTGCTGGGATTATAGGAGTGAGCCACCTTGCCCGGCCTAGCTGTGTCATTATTAAAGGGCTATGGGGGCCAGGTGCAGTGGCTCATGCCTGTAATCCCGGCACTTTGGGAGGCTGAGGTGGGTGGATCACCTGAGGTCGGGTGTTCGAGACCAGCCTGACCGACATGGAGAAACCCCGTCTCTACTAAAAATACAAAATTAGCCAGGCGTGGTGGCGCATGCCTGTAATCCCAGCTACTCGGGAGGCTGAGGCAGGAGAATCGCTTGAACCTGGGAGGCGGAGGTTGCAGTGAGCCGAAATCACACCCTTGCACTCCAGCCTGGGCAACAAGAGCAAAACTCTGTCTCAAAAAGAATAAATAATTAATTAATTAAATAAAGGGCTATGGGGGCCGGGCCTGGTGGCTCATGCCTGTAATCCCAGTACTTTGGGAGGCCGAGGTGGAGTGGATCACCTGAGGTTAGGAGTTCGAGACCAGCCTGGCCAACATGGTGAAACCCCATCTCTACTAAAAATACAAAAATTAGCCGGGCATGGTGGTGGGTGCCTGTAATCCCAGCTACTGGGGAGGCTGAGGCAGGAGAATCGCTTGAACCCGGGAGATAGATGTTGCAGTGAGCCGAGATCGCACCATTGAACTCCAGCCTAGGCGACAAGAGTGAGACTCCATCTCAAAAAAAAGAGCTATGGGGAGAGTGGACAATGACAGTGATCTCTGAGATGGCCGATATGGGCAAGCTCCTAAAGTGGTAAAGATCAGGACCGGAAGGATGGGGCAGATTACAGCACTCATTGTTTAGAGGAGGGTACTGGAAAGCCGGTTAGACCACCGCAGCTTGAATATGTCTTCTTCAAAAGAACCTTTTCCTGGCTCCCCAGCCTCGGTCAGGTGTGCTCTCTTGGCACCCTGCACTTCACAGCACATAAGACAGACCAGAGCTCTTTCCACGACCAAAACCTTCCTTCCTCCTTTTTGGTCCAAGAGACACACTTGGCAGCAGCAGGAGGAGTGTCACTCCATACGTTTTTATTTTTATCTTTACTTTTTTATCTTTTCTGTTTTACATGAGATGTGTATTTAAATAACCAGACACTGGGCCGGGCGCGGTGGCTCACGCCTGTAATCCCAGCACTTTGGGAGGCCGAGGCGGGCAGATCACCTGAGGTCAGGAGTTCGAGACCAGCCTGACTAACATGGTGAACCTCCGTCTCTACTAAAAACACACAAAAAATTAGCCGGGTGTAGTGGTGGGCGCCTGTAATCCCAGCTACTTGGGAGGCTGAGGCAGGAGAATCCCTTGAACCCGGGAGGTGGAGGTTGCAGTGAGCCGAGATCGCGCCATTGCACTCCAGCCTGGGCAACAGGGTGAGACACTGTCTCAAAAAATAAATAAATAAATAAATAAATAACCAGACACTGGACTAGAGGGGGAAAGTTTCAAGGATTTTTTTTTCTTCCCCTTTTTCTCATAAGGACAAATGTGCCTATGTGGAACAGCTACATAGAATAAAATGATGAAATTGTGATCTATGAAAAAAACATTAAAATAGGCTAGGCATGGTAGCTCACACCTGTAATCTCAGCACTTTGGAAGACAGGCAGGAGGATCGCTTGAGCCCAGAAGTTCGAGACCAGCCTGATCAACACAGGGAGACCCGTCTCTACCAAAAAAAAAAAAAAAAAAAAGCCAGTATCCAGGCAGAGTGGTGTGTGTGCTTGTAGTCCCAGTTACCTGGTAGGCTAGGGCAGGAGGATCACTTGAGTCCAGGAGTTCGAGGCTACAGTGAGCTATGATTGTGCCACTGCACTCCAGCCTAGGTGACAGAGTGAGAACCTGTCTCAAAAAAGAAACGATACATGGGTTTGTGTCATCTGAGATGCAACGAAAGAAAGAAAGAAAACAAAGACATACCACAGCTGTAATTACACAATTAATTGTAGAGGTTATTAATGTGTGCCTCTCTCCTCAGAACATAAACACCAGTAAGGTAGGGACTGCTTCAGTTACTCACTGTTCTATTCCCCAGCCTAGCACAGTTTCTGGTACACAATAGGAAGGAATTAATAGTCGTTAGGTTGGCAGCCTCATGGAGTGTGGACCCATTTAGAATCATAGAGTTAGAAAGTTTTTGGGCCAGACGCGGTGGTTCACGCCTGTAATCCCAGCACTTTGGGAGGCCAAGACAGATGGATCACGAGGTCAGGAGATTAAGACCATCCTGGCCAACATGGTGAAACCCCGTCTCTACTAAAAATACAAAAAATTAGCTGGGCGTGGTGGGGTGTGCCTGTAGTCCCAGCTACTCGGGAGGCTGAGGCAGGAGAATCGCTTGAACTAGGAAGTTGGAGGTTGCAGGGAGCCGAGATCGCGCCACTGAACTCCAGCCTGGTGACAGAGTGAGACTCCGTCTCAAAATTAAAAAAAAAAAAAAATTTCTATCTTACTGAAAGGGAACTTAGAGAAGTTAAGTGGTCCTTGAACACACAGCCTGTTGGCAGCAGAGCCAAGAATAAGAAACCAAATTCTGAGCAACATAGTGAGACCCTGATTCTACCAAAAAAAAAAAAAAAAATAGCCAGGCATGATGGCACACGCCTGTAGTCCCGGCTACTTGGGAGGCTGAGGTAGGATTGCTTAAGCACAGCAGCCTGAGACGGCAGTGAGCCATGATTCTGGCACTGCACTCCAGCCTGGGTGACAGAGCAACACTGCATCTCAATTAAAAAACAAAAAACTCGATCGGGCGCGGTGGCTCACGCCTGGAATCCCAGCACTTCGGGAGGCCGAGGCAGGCGGATCACGAGGTCAGGAGATTGAGACCATCCTGGCCAACGTGGTGAAACCCCATCTCTACTAAAAATACAGAAAATTAGCCGGGCGTGGTGGCGGGCGCCTGTAGTCCCAGCTGCTCCGGAGGCTGAGGCGGGACAATGGCGTGAACCCGGGAGGCGGAGCTTGTAGTGAACCGGGACCGTGCCGCTTGCACTCCAGCCTGGGTGACAGAGTGAGACTCGTCTCAAAATAATAATAATAATAATAATAATAATAATAAACTGCACACTATAGTAGGTGCTCTTAGGACTGTTTTTTTTTTTTTTTTTTTTTTTTTTTAAGCCAGGGTCTTGCTCTGTCATCCAGGCTGGAGTGCAGTGGCATGACCACAGCTCACTGTAGGCTCATCCTCCTGGGCTCAAGTGATCCTCCTATCTCAGTCTCCTGAGTGGCTCATACCTGTAATCTCAGGGTTACAGGTATGAGCCACCATGCCCTACCTCTTAGGATTTTTAAAAATGCGTTAAAAAAATAGGTACACGGTCAGGTACAATGGCTCACAATTGTAATCCTAACACTTTGAAAGGCTGAGGCAGGAGGATCACTTGAGCCCAGGAGTTTGAGACCAGCCTGGGCAACATAGTGAGACCTAGCTCTAAAAAAGAATAATAATTAAAATTTTTAAAAATTGGGCCAGGTACAGTGGCTCACGCCTATAATCCCAGCACTTTGGGGGGCTAAGGTGGGCGGATCACCTGAGGTTAGGAGTTTGAGGCCAGCCTGGCCAACATGGCGAAACCCCATCTCTACTAAAATTACAAAAATTAGCCAGGTATGGTGGTCACAGCTACTTGGGAGGCTGGTAATCACAGCTACTGGTGAGGCTGAGGCAGGAGAATTGCTTGAACCTGGAAGGCGGAGGTGGCAGTGAGCCAAGATGGCGCCATTGCACTCCAGCCTGGGTGACAGAGTGAGACTGTCTCCAAAAAAGAAAAAAAAAAGGAATTGATACATAATTATACATATTGATGGAATACATGTGATCTTTTGATACATGCATACTATGTATAATTAAATCAGCATAATTTGGGCATCCATTACCTCAAACGCTTATTTTGTTGAGAACATTCCATATCTTCTAGCTCTTTTTTTTTTTTTTTAATATCTTTAGACACAGTCTTGCTCTGTTGCTTAGGCTGGAGTGCAATGGCATGATCTCGGCTCACTGCAACCTCCACCTTCCAGGTTCTAGTGATTCTCCTGCCTCAGCCTCCTGAGTAGCTGGGACTACAGGCATACACCACCACGCCCAGCTAATTTTTGTATTTTTAGTAGAGATGGGGTTTCACCCAGTTGGCCAGGCTGGTCTCAAACTCCTGACCTCAGGTGGTCCACCTTCCTCGACCTCCCAAAGTGCTGGGATTACAGGCGTGAGCCACCGTGCCCAACCCTCTTCTAGCTCTTTTTAAATTTACCATAAAGTATTGATAACTGTGGTTACCCTACTGTGCTGTCAAACACTAGAACCTTCTAATGTTTCTTCTATCCACCTGTATTTCTGAATCCATTAACCAGCCTCTCTTCATCCCCCTGCCCTTCACAGCTTCTGGCAACCCCCGTTCTACTCTCCACCTCCTTGAGACCAGCTCTTTCTAGTCTCCATATATGAGAGAGTCCATGTAATGTCTGTCTTTCTGTGCCTGGTGTATTTCACTTAACATAATATCCTCTGGGCTCTTCCATGTTGCTGCAAGTGGACAGATTTCATTACTTTTTATGGATGAATAATATTCGATTGTATAGATATGCCATATTTTATGTATGCATTTATTTAGGTTAACGCTATATCTTGGCTATGATAACTAGTGCTACAATAAATATAGGAGTGTAGATGTCTCTTCCATGTACTGATTTCTTCTCTTTTTTTTCTTTTTTTTGAGACAGGGTCTCACTCTGTTGCCCAGGTTGGAGCGCAGTGGCATGATCATGGCTTACTGCATGCAGCCTCAACCTCCCAGGCTCAAGCAGTCCTCCCACCTCAGCCTCCTAAGTAGCTGGAAGCACAGGTGCACACTGCCACACCTGGCTAATTATTTATTTATTTATTTATTTTTTGAGGTGGAGTCTCGCTCTGTCGTGCAGGCTGGTGTGCAGTGGCGTAATCTCTGCTCACTGCAAGCTCTGCCTCCCAGGTTCACGCCATTCTCCTGCCCCAGCCTCCCAAGTAGCTGGGACTACAGGCGCCAGCCACCACGCCCGGCTAATTTTTTTTTATTTTTAGTAGAGACGGGGTTTCATCATGTTAGCCAGGATGGTCTTGATCTCCTGACCTCATGATCTGCCTGCCTCGGCCTCCCAAAGTGCTGGGATTACAGATGTGAGCCACCGCTCCCGGCCTAATTTTTTAATTTTTAAATTATTATTTATTTATTTATTTATTTATTTATTTATTTATTTATTTATTTTTGAGACAGCGTTTCACTCCTATCGCCCAGGCTGCAGTGCAATGGCACGATCTCGGCTCACTGTAACTTCCACCTCCCAGAGTCAAGCAATTCTGCCTCAGCCTCCCTAGTAATTGGGACTACAGGTGCATACCACCACGTCCAGCTAATTTTTTGTACTTTTTATAGAGACACGGGGTCTCGCCATGTTGCTCAGGATGGTCTCTAACTCCTGGGCTCAAGTGATCCTCCTGCCTCGGCCTCCCAAAGTGCTCACATTACAGGCGTGGGCCACTGTACCTGACGATTTTTTCTCTTTTGGATATATACCCAGCAGTGGTATTGCCCGATCTTACGATAGTTCTGTTTTCAGTTTTTTGAGGAACCTGCTTACTGTTGTCCATAGAGGCTGTACTAATTTAGATTCCCACCAAAAGTGTATAAGAGTTCCCCTTTCTCCATATCCTTGGCAGCATCTCTTTTTTTTTTTGTCTTTTTAAAATTATTTTATTTTTATTTATTCATTTTTATTTTATTTATTATTTTATTTGTTTATTTATTTATTTATTTATTTATTTATTTTTGAGACAGAGTCTCAGTTTGTTGCCCAGGCTGGGGTGCAGTGGCGCAATTTTTTTTCTTTCTTTTTTTTTTGAGATGGAGTCTTGCTGTGTCGCCCCAGGCTGGAATGCAGTGGCGTGAACTCAGCTCACTGCAGGCCCCACCTCCAGGGTTCACGCCATTCTCCTGCCTCAGCCTCCTGAGTAGCTGGGACTACAGGCACCCGCCATCATGCCCAGCTAACTTTTTTTTTTTATTTTGTAGTAGAGACGGGGTTTCACCGTGTAAGCCAGGATGGTCTCGATCTCCTGACCTCATGATCCACCTGCCTCGGCCTCCCAAAGTGCTGGGATTACAGGCATGAGTCACTGCGCCCGGCCAATTTTTTTTTTTTTTTTTTTTTGAGACTGTTTTATTTTTTGTGGAGGAGTGGTTTCACTATGTTGCCCAGGCATGTCTTGAACTTCTGAGCTCAAGTGATCCTCCCACCTCAGCCTCCCAAAGTGTTGGGATTACAGTTACAGGTGTGAGCCACTATGCCCAGCCTTTTTGTCTTTTGATAATAACCCTTTAAATGGGGTGAGATGCTATCTCATTGGGTTTTGATTTGCATTTCTCCTATTATTAGTGATATTGAAGGATTATTTTTAATAACAGCTTTATTGAAATATAATTTACATACCATAAAATTTACCCTTTTAAAATATTTTAGGCCAGGTGTGGTGGCTCATGCCTGTAATGCCAGCACTTTGGGAGGCCAAGGCGGGCGGATCACTTGAACTCAGGAGTTCAAGACCAGCTTGGGCGACATAGTGAAACCCCATCTCTACAAAAAATATAAAAATTAGCCAGGTGTGGTGGTGCGCACCTGTAGTCCCAGCTACTTGGGAGTTTGAGGCAGGAGGATTGCTTGAGCTCAGGAGGTGGAGGTTGCAGTGAGCTGAGATTACACTACTGCACTCCAGCCTCAGCAACAAAGTGAGACCCTGTCTCAAAAAACAAACTAACAAAAATTAAAATAAAATATTTTAAAGTGGTTTTTGGTATACTCACAGACTTATGCAACCATCTTCACTATCTAATTTCAGAACCTTTTCATTATCCCCAGATGAAACCCAGTACGCATTAGCAGTCATTGCCCATCTTCTCCTTCCTCCCAGCCCCTGGCAACCACTAATCTACTTCTCATCTCTTTAGACTTGCCTATTCTGGACGTTACACATAAATGTAGCCACATAATATGTGGCCTTTTGTGACTAGCTTCTTTCATAAGCATAATGTCTTCAAGGTTCATCCATGTTGCAACATCTAGCAGTAGTTTATTCCCTTTTTTTGTTTTGTTTGTTTTAATTTTTTTTTTTTTTTTTTTTTTAGAGGCAGGGTCTCACTCACTCTGTCACCCAGGCTGGGGTGCAGTGGTGCTATCATAGGTCACTACTGCCTTCCGCTCCTGGGCTCAAGGGATCCTTCCACCTCAGCCTCCCATGTAGCTGGGACTACAGGTACATGCCACCTTGCCTCACTAATTTTTTAAATTTTTTGTAGAGATGTGGTCTTATTATCTTGCCAAGGTTGGTCTCAAACCTGCCAAGCAGTCTCAAACCACTTGACCTCAAGTGATCCTCCCGCCTCTGCCTCCCAAAGTGCTGGGGTTATAGACATGAGCCACCATACCTGGTCTTCATTTCTTTTTATTGCCAATATCATTCTATTATATAGATATACCACATTTATCTGTTCATCAGTTGATGGATATTTGGGTGGTTTCTACTTTTTGGTTGTTAATAATCCTCCTGTGGGCATCCATCTACATATTTTTGTGTGGATATATGTTCTCAGTTTTCTTGAGTATCTACCTAGAAGTGGAATGGCTGAGTGATATGATAACTCATTGTTTAACATTTGAGGAACTGCCAAACTGTTTTCCAAAGTGGCTGGACCATTTTACATTCCCAGCAGCAGTGTATGACAATTTCAGTTTCTCCATGCCCTCAGCAACGCTTTTGATTGTCCATCCTTTTCTAGATGGGGTAGGGAGGTGATCTCACTCTGTTGCCCAGGCTGAAGTACAGTGGCATGACCATAGCTCACTGTAGCCTCAAACTCCTGGACTTATAGGATCCTCCTGCCTCAGCCTCCTGAGGGAAATACAAATCAAAACCACAATGAGATACCACTTCACACCTACTAGGATGGCTCCAATCAAAAGGATGGACAGGCTGGGTACAGTGGCTCACTCCTGTAATCCCGCACTTTGGGAGGCCGAGGTGGGCGGATCACTTGAGGTCAGGAGTTTGACACTGGCCTGGACAACATGGTGAAATCCTGTCTCTACTAAAATACAAAAAATTAGCCAAGTGTGGTGGCAGGCAGCTGTAATCCCAGCTATTCAGGAGACTGAGGCAAGAGAATCACTTGAACCCAGGAGGTGGAGGTTGCAGTGAGCTGAGATTGCACCACTGCACTCCAGCCTGAGCAACAGAATGAGACTAAGTCTTAAAAAAAAAAAAAAAAAGGATGGACAGAGTCAGGCATGGTGCCTCACCCCTGTAATCCCAGCAGTTTGGGAGGCCAAGGCAGGTGGATCTCTTTAGCTCAGGATTCAAGACCAGCCTGGGCAACACGGTGAAACCCCGTCTACATAAAAAGTACAAAAATTGGCTGAGCGCAGTGGCTCACGCCTGTAATCCCAGCACTTTGGGAGGCCGAGGTGGGTGGATCACGAGGTCAGGAGTTTGAGACCAGTTTGACCAACATGGTAAAACCCCGTCTCTACTAAAAATACAAAAAATTACCCAAGTTTGGTGGTGCGCGCCTGTAATCCCAGCTACTCAGGAGGCTGAAGCAGGAGAATTGCTTGAACCCAGGAGGCGGAGGTTGCAGTGAGCTGGGATCGTGGCACTGCACTCCAGCCTGGGTGACAGAGACTCTGTCTCAGAAACAAAAGAAAAATCAACTCCTCAAACATCCACCCTTTTTGGCTTCTTCCCCTCCATGATGATGAACGATCTTCCCTATTTTGAAAACCCTATTGTCTGACTTTGCTGCCAGCTCTAGCTGTCATCTGATTTTCCCCCTTCCTCTCAAGGTTAGACTTCTCCAGAAAGGGTGCTGCCCTCATTTCCTCAGCACAGCCCTGTCTCCTCCAGCCCCCGCTGTCTGCCCTCTGCTCACACAGCGGCAGTTCCCAGTGGTTTCCGAGCTGCTGAAGTCAGTGGGATTTTTTTCAGTGCCCTCTGGCTGCTCTGCCGCATTCGAGGCCATCACTCCCCTTATCCCCCTGCAGCCTCCATGACCATCTCCTCTTCTGGCGTCTGTTCTGCTGCTCTCACGTGTTGCCCTTGGCCATCCACATTCTCCCTAGATATCTTGTTTGTATCTCCAACTCTTACACTCACGAATGTCTGTAAATTGTATTTACAGATCCTTGTTTCTAACTGCACAATAGAATGTACCTGTGTATCCTTTAACATCCCCAATTCAACATTCAAACCCAGCCTGTTCTCCCACAGCACAGCATGACAATAGAATGTACCTGTGTATCCTTTAACATCCCCAATTCAACATTCAAACCCAGCCTGTTCTCCCACAGCACAGCATGACAATAGAATGTACCTGTGTATCCTTTAACATCCCCAATTCAACATTCAAACCCAGCCTGTTCTCCCACAGCACAGCATGACAATAGAATGTACCTGTGTATCCTTTAACATCCCCAATTCAACATTCAAACCCAGCCTGCTCTCCCACAACACAGCATGGTCTTCGCCACTCTTTTTTCTTTTCTTTTTTTTTTTTTTTTTTTGAGAAGGCGTCTCACTCTTTCACCCAGGCTGGAGTGCAGTGGCGCAATTTCGGCTCACTGCAACCTCCACCTCCTGAGTTCAAGCGATTCTCCTGCCTCAGCCTCCCAAGTAGCTGGGTTTACAGGTGCCCACCACCATATCCAGATGATTTTTGTATTTTTTAGTAGAGACAGGACTTCATAATGTTGGCCAGGCTGGTCTCGAACTCCTGACGTCTGATGATCCGGCGTTCTCAGCTTCCCAAAGTGCAGGGATTACAGACATGAGCCATCACGCCCAACCCTAAGGTGGACTTTTTACACAATCCAACCCCCTCTTAGCTTGTGGGAGAGGACCGAGGCCTCAAACAGTTAAATACTTGCACAGAGGCACACGACTAGTGCCAGAGTTGAAAACCCCTCTCCCATGCTCTTTCCACCACACCAAGCAGCATTTCAGCGGCTTTCGTGCTTTCGGTTGCTGTTTATGATATATAATCGTAGACTGCCACATTTTCATATTTGAGTACTTGGCCAATCTATAAAATTATAAGGTTTTATATTTCTCATATATTGGTGAGCTCCCTTTTGTGTCTAATTCGGGAGTTATTACATAGTTTGTGCTCAGGAAATATGTAATGGATGAATGAAATGAGATACGATTGCCTTACAGGTTTTCCCTGCTTAGGGCTTAGCCCAGTGCAAGGCAAATGGAGGCACTCATTCAGAAGATATTTAGTGGTTGGATAATAACGGGGCATCGTTAAATGTCAGGCTGAGGTGTTGGGACTCTCTAAGCATTGGGGAGCCCCACTACCAGTTCTGGGCAGAAGAGTAAAATCAGGAAAGCGCCATTTTGGAAGAGTTAAATCAGTGGCAGCAGAAGGAAGACATGGGGGAGGCTAGAGTTCCAGGAGGGAGGACATGAGGGATTGGTCTGAGTTGGTGGACAAGCCAAGCACATGTTGAAGGGAGAAAGGACAGGGTGGCTGCGATACAGGAAAGGGAGGAGGAGGAGGAGGATTAGGCAGAGGCTGGACTGTGGTGGGAAAGCGGTGCTGCTATTGAAACATGGAGCATCTGGGTGGGGAGGGGGTGAGAGACCACAACCAGAGTGCCACGTGCGGGACCCCAACTTGCTTCTCTGAATCACCCTTTCCAGTAGGAGTTTTCAGGAAACCGACTTGAAACCCATTAAATGTCGATATCTGAACCCAGGGTGTCTGACCTCAAATATTCCTTCCTCCCTCAGTGCCGCCCAGACACGAGAAGGAGACAGATTGGGAGTCAAGGTTACAAAATTAAAATGTACTTGTAGTGATTTGACTTGATGGTGACAGATCATTATGGCTCTAACAGGCCCACGGTATTTTCCCTCTTAGATTAGGAGTGTTCAGAAAATTATGACCCTAGATCCTTTTTCCTGTCTCCCTCCTTCTCAGAAAGAGCTACA
This sequence comes from Homo sapiens, assembly GCF_000001405.40. Lineage (NCBI taxonomy): Eukaryota > Metazoa > Chordata > Mammalia > Primates > Hominidae > Homo > Homo sapiens. The sequence goes on from NC_000017.11 coordinate 4,875,069, forward strand.
GTTTGATTCAAGAAAGGACTTCGCAGCAGTCAGTTCAGACGCCCCGGAATGGATGAGTTCTTCTGTTGGGGAGCTCTGTAGGGAACTCTATGGTCTTTGAGCCTCTAATCTAGAACTGAAGACGGATGAGATGACTTTTTTCAGGTTCCTTCCAGCTCTCAGGGTCAGAAAGACCTCTTGTTAGCCCCCTGCACTGCAGTGACAACACCTCTCTTTCCTGTGGATCCTACTGTGATTTACACCCGTTAAATATTGTTTTAGCTGTGCATGCTGGGTCATGCCTATAATATTAATGTGTTGGGAGGCTGAGGTGGGAGGATTGCTTGAGCCCAGGAGTTCAAGGCTACAGTGAGCTGTGATCATGCCACCGCACTCCCACCTGGGCAACAGAGCGAGATCTGACTCTAAAAAAACAAAAATGAGGCCGTGCGCAGTGGCTCACACCTGTAATCCCAACACCTTGGGAGGCTGAGGTGGGTGGATCACCTGAGGTCAAGAGTTTGAGACCAGTCTGACCAACAGGGTGAAACCACGTCTCTACTAAAAATACAAAATTAGCTGGGCGTGGTGGCACACGCCTGTAGTCCCAGCTACTCGGGAGGCTGAGGCAGGAGAATCATTTGAACCCAGGAGGTGGAGGTTGCGGTGAGCCAAGATCGTGCCATTGCACTCCAGCTGGGCAACAAGAGAAAAATTCCATTTCAAAAAAAATGAATAAATTTGTTAGGTTTTTTTTCCCCCCGCCGAGACAGAGCCTTGCTCTGTCGCTTTGGTTGGAGTGCAGTGGTGTGATCTCGGCTCACTGCAACCTCCACCTCCTGGGTTCAAGTAATTCTCCTGCCTCAGCCTCCCGAGTAGCTGTGAATATAGGTGCCCGCCACCACGCCCAGCTAATTTTTTGTATTTTTAGTAGAGACGGGGTTTCACCATGTTAGCCAGGATGGTCTCGATACCCTGACCCCTTGATCTGCCCGCTTCAGCCTCTCAAAGTGCTGGGATTACAGGCGTGAGCCACCGCGCCCGGCCAAGATTTTTTTTTTCGTAACTTTAACTGAAGCCAAATAATTGAATGTAGACCCACAAAGTTCTTGGTCTGGTCAGCCCAGTCCCCTTCAGAGCACAGAGAAGGAACCCCCTTCAGCTGTCAATACTTCCTCCCGAGCAGGCTGGGCTGTTTCCTCAGGCTGCCGCGTGCCAGGCCTCAGTGAGGTCCTAGACATTACCTGGTGAGCAAGGAGGGCTCAGTCCCTTTCTCCAGTGAATAAGACAAGTAAATGTAGAGCACAATGCCTCGTGATACATGCTCTGATGGGGCAGGCACAGGGTGCCGGGGCACGTCTCCGCTCTCCAGCTCCTCTTTGAGAAAATGGAAAAAGTGCACAGTGAGGACATTTTTTAAAAGCCTTGGGCTGGTGTCTCTCTGGTCTTCAACACGCCCAAGTCGTCTTCCTTGGGCTTATTACTTCAGTGGATGAAGTGCTTTTATTGGCATGGATGTGGGCTTTTTTGGTCGTGGGATTTTTTTTTTCCTCCCAGAAACCCTATGTTAGCTTTCAAAATCAAGGAGAAAGGAGTTTTAGATTATATGCTTTTAGGATTATCAGCACAGAGGCCACGTGTTGCCTGGAGAGTTTATTCCCAAGTGCCATCCTCACTTTCTGCCTCCGCTCGGTCCCTGCAGCGGTGGGGACGGGCCCACCCAGTGAAACACCAGGACTGTCAGAACTGTCGGCTCTGAGGCAGGCGTGGTGGCTCACACCTGTAATCCCAGTACTTTGGGAGGCCAAGGCAGGAGGACTGCTTGAACTCAGAAGTTTGAGAACAGTCTGGACAACATAGTGACACCCCGTCTCTACTAAAAATAAAAAAAACTAGCCAGGAGCGGTGGTGCATGCCTGTGGTCCCAGCTGTTCAGGAGGCTGAGGTGGAGGATTGCTTGAGCCCAGGAGACTGAGGCTGCAGTGAGCTGTGATTGTACCACTGCATCCAGCCTGGGTGACAGAGTGAGACTCAGTCTCAAAAGAAAAAAAAAAAAAAGAGCCATCATTCTGCAGGAGGTGCAGGAGTGTGGACAGTACTGGGCTGTATCTCTCTTCAGCTTGCAGCTCCACCTCCCAATTTCTTTCTCTCAAAAAAAAAAGGTTCTGCCAGGAGGGTGTGGGTGGCCTCCCGACCGCAGCTGTGTTGCTGAGGCCTGGCCTGCCTGCTCTTGGCCCAGGGGGAGGACGAGCCTCTTTAGAGGCTTTGTTTGAGCCCTTCGGGCTGTCTCCTTCTGGCACTGCTTGGCTCAGAAAAGTAGGAACAGAAAGTTCTCCCTTCTCAGAGGCCCTTTCTCACCATCACCTGCTGACTCCCTCCGTCCAGGTCCCTTTGGCCCCAATTGCCTCAAACCCTGGCCTGGAAGCCCTCAGTCTCAGGGGGACTGGGAAGAGGGAAGGACAAAAGGATGGTGGCCCTGAAATTCCTGCTCCCTGCTAGCTTTCCTCATCCCTGCTTTTAAGAAGTAAGATAATAATAATGGTCATTAACTTTTATTGGGCACACGCTCTGATGCCAGGAACCATCTGAAGCATTTGATGGGCATTTCTTCACTTAAAATGTGAGTACCAACCCCAGAGGAAGGTACTCGGGCACCCTCATTTTGCACATGAGGGTACAGACGCAGTTTCTCGGTGGGTTTGAAATCGGGAACATGTCTTTGAAAAGCCATCTGCGCTCTGACTTCCATGTTCTCTCACTTCTTTTTTTTTTTTTTTTTTTGAGACGGAGTCTCACTCTGTCGCCCAGGCTGGAGTGCAGTGGCGCAATCTCAGCTCACTGCAAGCTCTGCCTCCCAGGTTCACGCCATTCTCCTGCCTCAGCCTCCCAAGTAGCTGGGACTACAGGCGCCCGCAACCACGCCCAGCTAATTTTTTGTATTTTTAGTAGAGACGGGGTTTCACCGTGTTAGCCAGCATGGTCTCGATCTCCTGACCTCGTGATCCACCTGCCTCGGCCTCCCAAAGTGCTGGGATTACAGGCGTGAGCCACCGTGCCCGGCCACTCACTTCTTCCAACTTTTCCCGTAGAACATTCACTCTGAACCAATCCAGGAAAAGGGCAGCCAGCCACCAGGGTTCCTGCCACGTGCCCTCCTGATATGCTGGTCTTCACTCCCATATCTTGACTGGATACCACTTTACCCCCCTCTAGCTCTGTAATCCTTTTCTAAAGTCTTGACACAGTATTCTTCTGTCTCCTGCCCCTAGGACCCTGCTGGGATCTTTGAGCTTGTGGAGGTGGTCGGCAATGGAACCTACGGACAGGTGTACAAGGTGAGACGAATGGTGTGGAAGTATGACCTCCACATCTGCAGGGCAGTCTTGGGAGGAGTGGAAGGAAGTAGATTCCTGGTCTGCAGGTCTGAAGGGGGCTATGGGAGATGCTAGAGTCTAGGGCCCTGGAAAGGTAGAGTGGGGGAGAGGAAAGAGCACCCAGAAGGAGGTACTGTTGATGCCTCTCTCTACCTGAGTGCAGAGCCAGTCCCGGACATGGTGGGAACAGGCCAGCAGCCAGGCAGGGTGGCCTGCAGCAGTGAGAGCAGGTGGAAGGGCATACGGCCTTGTGTGTCAGAACTCTCCTGGGATTCAGAGAGAGCTAAGGCCAGAGATGTGGGTTTGGCCTCTCCCCAGACCACAAAGAGACCCAGGACTTTGAGGTAGTGGGACCTAATGGGTGGCCTTCTGCAGAGGGGATGTGGCCTCTGCTCCCACAGCTGGCCTGCTGGGGCCAGAGCTCAGGCTTTTGGCTTTTGAGCTGCCTCTGTCCCTGACAGAAGTGGCAGGTTCTCAGCCACTGATGGTAGCTTTTAGGTTGGCCAGCCCAGCCCTCTCGTGTGGCCTGACCACACTGCTCACACTTGGATGGGGGGAGCCACTCCAGCGGGGAGTAAGGTGGCCTGACCACTGCTCACACTTGGATTGTGGGAGCCGCTGCAGCAGGGAGTGAGGTGGCCTGACCACTGCTCACACTTGGATTGTGGGAGCCGCTGCAGCAGGGAGTGAGGTGGCCTGACCACTGCTGACACTTGGATTGGGAGGAGCCGCTGCAGCAGGGAGTGAGGTGGCCTGACCACTGCTGACACTTGGATTGTGGGAGCCGCTGCAGCAGGGAGTGAGGTGGCCTGACCACTGCTCACACTTGGATGGGGGGAGCTGCTCCAGCAGGGAGGGAGGATGCTCAGGGTGAATGCTGCCTCTGACTGGAGCCCCCTGGGGCCCGTGGCTTTTTCATCTCCAGACAGAGTGCTTGATACTGTCACAAGTCTCTTCTACATCTCTAGCCCCGTGTTTCCTGTGTCGCTGAGACCACCTGCCTTTCTCTTACACTCCTTCTCTTGCAAACTTTGGGGAAACAGGCACCCCACCCGCAATCTCTTGCCTTGTTGTTGCCATGGGAATAGTGGTGCCATGTGCTCCTGCGTCTCTGGGCTTGGGGTCTTGAATGGCTGAGGATAAAAATTACCCATGGGCTGGCAAAGCCAGTCCATCCCCATGAGGGGCCACCTTCCTCCATCCTGCTCGTCCCCAGGAAGCCTTTGGGCATTCCTCTCCAAGCCTTAGATGCTCCCACTGGGAATTTCAGAAGGATGTTGGGGGAGGAGGGCAATGGCTGGGGACACACTCAAGAAGAGGAAGTTTCTTCCCACTAGGGCTGGTGACAGGAGCATTAGCACATGTCGGCGGGCCCCTCTGTGTTTCTCTGAGTTCCCTAAAATCTCAGCTCTGTCTCTGTTCTTTCCCTATCGACAAGAATAAAAAGCTTTGTGGGTGAAGTTGATTCTGGGAGAGGCCTCCTGTCCAGAGTTGGTGAGTCAGGAAAGCACTGCAGCATTTTCTCTTGCTTAGGAGAAGAGGGTGAGGCAAAGCCCCTCCCTCCCTAGCCTCCTTCTCCTACTGCCTCCATCCTCCGTTAGGGTGGAGAAGTATCTTTCACGCCCTGCTCTAACTTTCAGACTGTAGAAAGTCCAAGCCAGAGAGGCTGGAACAGAACATAAATGTTTCTCCCTCATCTGTCTTGAGTTTTTATGGGAGGAGACCCTTCGCCTTTATTGAGCCTGTAACTTGGAAGTCCACTGTAGGTGGTTTTTCTGTTGGCCATGATGGCTCAGGAGCGCTCTCTGTCCACTCCCATGAGCAGCACATTCACTGAGGTGTGTAGCCACAATGAGGGGTACTTGCTTTTTTTCTTTTCTTTTTTTTTTTTTTTGAGACGGAGTCTTGCTCTGTCCCCCAGGTGGGAGTGCAGTGGCACAGTCTCGGCTTGCCTCCCAGGTTCAGGCAATTCTCGTGCCTCAGCCTCCTGAGTAGCTGGGATTATAGGCGCCCACCATGACACCCAGCTAATTTTTTGTATTTTTAGTGGAGATGGGGTTTCTCCATGTTGGCCAGGCTGGTCTCGAACTCCTGGTCTCAAGTGATCCGCCTGCCTCGGCCTCCCAAAGTGTTGGGATTACAGGCATGAGCCACAGCGCCCGGCTGAGGGGCACTTTGTAAGATAGAAAACAGTCGGGCCGGGCGCGGTGGCTCATGCCTGTCATCCCAGCACTTTGGGAGGCCGAGGCAGGCGGATCACGAGGTCAGGAGATCGAGACCATCCTGGCTAACACGGTGAAACCCCATCTCTACTAAAAATACAAAAAAATTAGCCGGGCGAGGTGGTGGATGCCTGTAGTCCCAGCTATCCGGGAGGCTGAGGCAGGAGAATGGCGTGAACCCGGGAGGTGGAGCAGGCAGTGAGCCGAGATCGCGCCACTGCACTCTAGTCTGGGCGACAGAGCGAGACCCTGTCTCAAAAAAAAAAGCTGTGTCTCCTAGAGTCAAGCCCTCTCTACGCTCCACCCTCTGAGCATAGACTCAGATCCCTCTGTCCCGCAGGGTCGGCATGTCAAGACGGGGCAGCTGGCTGCCATCAAGGTCATGGATGTCACGGAGGTAGGGAGTGGAGCTGGGCAGTGGGAGGGTCGGACCAGCGAGAAGGGAGTGTTGGGGGAGTCTCAGGGCTCAGCTCCTCCCATCTGCTTAGGACGAGGAGGAAGAGATCAAACAGGAGATCAACATGCTGAAAAAGTACTCTCACCACCGCAACATCGCCACCTACTACGGAGCCTTCATCAAGAAGAGCCCCCCGGGAAACGATGACCAGCTCTGGGTGAGAAACGCCCCCCTGCCCGCCTTCCCTCCCCGCAATCCCTGTCTCCGGGCTGTTCACTAGGACTCAGTATCAGTGCCCAGCATCTCTCCTTGCCAGCTACCCTCCCTCCGGTCTACCCAGCCTCCCCTGTCCCTGGACCCAGAGGGGCCTCCTGCCTCATGGATGGCCCCGCACTCCAGCCCCCATGAACTGCAGCATCTCATCCTTTGAGTGTTTTGTGGGGAGGGGTCCTGGCGTTTGCCCCAACCCTTCCCCTAACCAGTGTCTCACACTGTGCGATCGGCTCTTAATAAATAAATATAATCCTGGCAAAGGGGAGAGAGACCGTGGGGAGGCCGTCCATCCATTTTCCTGCCTTTGAGCACAGCTCCTGGGAAAGCAACAGAACCAAAATATTTGTGGGAGATAACAGGGCCCAGACCCCTCCCAGAACCCCAGATGCTACAGAGCACCCAGCCCTTCTGGGTCATCATTCAAAACAGAGCCTGCTGCAGAGCTTGGGGCCTCCCCCAAATTCCTCCTGCCTGGCCCAGAACATTCCTAAGAGTCATTCCCCTCCCTAGCCTGGGCACTGGTGCTGACATGTTCCCCCAGCCTCACCCTTTGTGGTACTGAGCCCAGTCCCTGAGGATGGAGCAGCAGGGAGTGTGGCAATGGCTGTCGGGAGTTTTGGCGCTGACGCCAGGTCTCCCCTCCCAACAGCCATTCAGAGAAGCACTTACTAAGCACTTCTGTATACTCTGTATAGATGAGCATGAGCCATGGTCCTGGCCTCCAAGGCCCTTTGGCTTTTTGGGAACACACACACTCATGCACACAAAGAAAGGGAGAAAGGTGACAGGGAGGTCTACCTGCCAGGTGTGTGTGGTGGAGATCGCGGCAGGCTAGAGGCATTAGTGGCCGGGCGCCCCCTTCTGGACCTGTTGGGCACAGGTCCTCCCCTCCTCTCACTGTGCTCTGCTCTCCAAGGAATAGGCACATGCAAATTACTTTTATTGCATATGCAAATATATGTGTCCACCCAACCTTTTCCTGCATTGGATGTGGCTTTTAGTGAAAACTTGGACAAGCATGCTGATTTCCAGGAAGACTGGTTGGAGCCATCTTCTCTGCCTGCGGGTCTCAGCTGCTCTCCCTGGGAGGTGCAGACCCAGAGCCCTCCTCATCTCCTGGCCTTGTTACTCTCTGTGCTGGAGGAGTTTCTCTCAGGGTCTTCCCAGGTTCCCTGTTGCAGCTGTCGAGGTAGACCCTATGCAATCTTTATGTCTCTAGCAGACCTAGAGAATCACTATTTCTTAGCCCCCTTTCTGCTTCTAAGTCAGGGACTGGCAAACTTCTTCTGTGAAGGGCCAGATGGTAAATATTTCAGGCTTTGCGGGTCATATTTGCTGTCCCAGCTACACGGTTCTGTTGTTGTACCACGAAAGCAGCAATAGTCAGTACGTAAACGAATGAGTGTGGCTATAACCCCAGCACCCTCACTGCGGTCACTCACGTTTCAATGTTTTACACTTTCACATGTCATTTAGGATTCCTTTTTTTGTTTTTTCCCGCAACCATTTAAAAATGTAAAACCCAGGCCAGACGCAATGGCTCAAGCCTGTAATCCCAGCACTTCGGGAGGCTGGGGCAGGAGGATCACCTGAGGTCAGGAGTTCAAGACCAGCCTGGCCAACACGGTGACACCTCGTCTCTACTGAAAATACAAAAATTAGCCGGGCGTGGTGGCATGCGCCTGTAATCCCAGCTACTTGGGAGGCTGAGGCAGGAGAATCGCTTGAACCTGGGAGGCGGAGGTTGCAGTGAGCTGAGATCGCGCCACTGCACTCCACTCTGGGCGACAGAGTAAGACCCTGTCTCAAAAAAAAAAAAAAAGTGAAAACCATTCTTGACTTGCTGACCATATAGAAGCAGGCCTTGGGCCAGCCCTGATCCAAAGCAGAAGTTCCTTTTTTTTTTTTTGAGACAGAGTCTTGCTCTGTCACTCAGGCTGGAGTGCAGCGGCGCGATCTCGGCTCACTGCAACCTCTGCCTCCCAGGTTCAAGCGATTCTCCTGTGTCAGCATCCTGAGTAGCTGGGATTACAGGTGCCCACCACCACGCCCGGCTAATTTTTTGTATTTTTAGTAGAGATGGGGTTTCACCATGTTAGCCAGGATGGTCTCGAATTCCTGACCTCATGATCCGCCCGCCTTGGCCTCCCAAAGTGCTAGGATTACAGGCATGAGCCACTGAGCCCGGCCCAAAGCAGTAGTATTTTGTTTTGGGTTTTTTGTTTGTTTGTTTTTTGAGACAGAGTCTCACTCTGTCACCCAGGCTGGAGTTCAGTGGCGCAATCTCAGCTCACTGCAAGCTCCGCCTTCCGGGTTCACGCCGTTCTCCTGCCTCAGCCTCCCAAGTAGCTGGGACTACAGGAGCCCGCCACCACGCCCGGCTACTTTTTTTTTTTTTTTTTTTTTAGTAGAGACAGGGTTTCACCGTGTTATCCAGGATGGTCTTGAACTCCTGACCTTGTGATCCACCCACCTCGGCCTCCCAAAATGCTGGGATTACAGGAGTGAGCCTCCGCGCCCAGCCATAAAGCAGTAGTTCTTAACCGCTGTAGGGTTTGGAATCCCAATGAGAATCTGATGAAAGTACTAGACCCTTCCTCAGGGAAAATGCATATACCTGCATCATTTTGTTTACAGTTTCAGGGATTCCTTGGACTCCTACTCTAAACCCAGCCCCACCCTGCCAGTTCTTTTCCATCTGTATTCCTTCTCCTCTTTTTTTTTTTTTTTTTTGAGACGGAGTCTTGCTCACCATGTTGGCCAGGCTGGTCTTGAACTCCTGACCTCAGGTGATCCGCCTGCCTCAGCCTCCCAAAGTGCTGGGATTACAGGCATGAGCCACCGCACCCAGCCTTTTTCCCTCTCTGTCTTGACTTGAGGAAATCCTGTGGCCTTTGTGAGGCTTCTGTGGCCCTTGCTCTCTAGCTCATACCAGTTCTAACCCCAAGGTCTCTTATCCTCCTCCAGGAGTCTAGCAGGGGATTGGGGCAGGGGTGGGAGGGCTTGTCTGACTGATACTTTTCCTTTCGGTACCTTCCTGGGATCCTAGCTGGTGATGGAGTTCTGTGGTGCTGGTTCAGTGACTGACCTGGTAAAGAACACAAAAGGCAACGCCCTGAAGGAGGACTGTATCGCCTATATCTGCAGGGAGATCCTCAGGGTGAGCTCAAGGCCCCTCCCCTTGTCTTCTCCTCCGCTACCCTGGCTGGAGTTTCTCCATGAGCAAAGATCCTCCCTGCGCTGGGAGGAGACATCACTGCCCTCTTTAGGGAGCAGCAGGCCTGATGCGGGTGGGATGTGGAAGCAGGGTCCACACCTTGGGAAGTCTCAGGCTGTTGGAGGAGACAAGCTCCTGTTTCCAAGCTCTGCCGCTTCTCCACCTGTAACCCTGCAACTGCTGGGAATTCACCTGGAGCCACCTCTCTGAGGAAGCTCTCCAGGACAGCTCAGCTTGCTTGGGCTCCTGGTGGAGAAGGTCTGCTCCTTCAGCCCAGCCCTGTCCAGACTGACTGCTCCTTGTCCCCTCAACTCACTCCCCACTTACTCTTTCCTACCCCATCCAACACCATGGCTAATTTTCCCTGCTCTCCTGTCCCAGGGTCTGGCCCATCTCCATGCCCACAAGGTGATCCATCGAGACATCAAGGGGCAGAATGTGCTGCTGACAGAGAATGCTGAGGTCAAGCTAGGTGCGCCGGCTCCTTCTGAGGCTGACGAGGACCTTTCACCTCCAGAAC